>NC_000009.12:65130082-65325123 GCF_000001405.40 Homo sapiens
CTCCCCCACTTGACAGATGGGTAATCTGAAGCTTAGAGAACTTGAATGGCTTGTCCAAGGTCACACAGCCTGTACATGGTGAGCCAGGATTAAATCCAGGCAGTTACCTGTGCCAGATGGCCTCAAACCAAACAACTGCGCTGCTCCATGCATGCCTTGCTTTCTTGTGCCTCTGTTTTATTTGTTTGTTTGTTTGATGCTTGAGATAGGGTTTTGCTCTATCACCCAGGCTGGAGTGCAGTGCCATGATCAGGGCTCATTGCAGCCTCCATCTCCTGGGCTCAAGTGATACTCCCACCTCAGCCTCTCAAGTAGTTGGGACTATGGGCATGTGCCTCGACACGCAGCCAATTTTTTTTTTTTTTTTTTTGAGACAGTCTTGCTCTGTCGCCCAAGCCAGAGTGCAATGGCGCAATCTCGGCTCACTGCAACCTCCAACTCCCGGGTTCAAGTGATTCTCCTGCCTTAGCCTCCCGAGTAGTTGAGATTATAGGTGCATGCCACCATGCCCAACTATTTTTTTGTATTTTTAGTAGAGACAGGGTTTCACGATGTTGGCCAGACTGGTCTCAAACACCTGACCTCAGATGATCAGCCTGCCTTGGCCTCCCAAAGTGCTGGGATTACAGGCATGAGCCATTGAGCCCTATCCCAGCTAAGTTTTTCAATTTATTTTGTGTAGAGATGAGGTTTCACTATGTTGCCCGGGCTGGTCTCGAGCTCCTGGCCTTAAGCAATCCTCTCACCTCAGCCTCCCAGAGTGCTGGGATTACAGGTGTGAGCCACCATGCCTGGCCAGAATATCCTAATAATTTTACATTGATTGCATCTTGAAATAGGATTTTGGCTATATGGGTTAATTATTAAAATTAATTTCACCTGTTGCTTTTTACCTTTTTAATGTGGATACTAGAAAAAATTAAATTATACAGATGGCTTGTATTGTATTTCCCCTGGAGAACTCTGTTCTAGAGTTGATAAAGGAGAAAACCTGAAGAATTGTAGACATAAGGGCCAAAGTCAAAGCCGACAGAGGAGAAGGCCCCAGGAGAGGGTACAAGGTAAGAAGGCAGACCAGGCCGGGTGCGGTGGCTCATGCCTGTAATCCCAGCACTTTGGAAGGCCGAGGTGGATGGATCACTTTAGGTCAGGAGTTCAAGACCAGCATGACAAAACCCCGTCTCTACTAATAATACAAAAATTAGCCAGGCATGGTGGTGCTTGCCTGTAATCCCGGCTACTCAGGAGGCTGAGACAGGAGAATTGCTTGAACCCAGGAGGTGGAGCTTGCAGTGATCTGAGATCACACCACTGCACTCCAGCCTGGGCGACAGAGCAAGACTCCATCTCAAAAAAAGAAAAAAAAAAGAGTTGAAAGGCACCAGTGTAGACTCCTCTTCGAGAATTCGCCTGAGGAGCGGGGAAGAGAGAACATGATCCCGTGAAGGGGCTGACAGGGTGAAGGGAGGGATGTTTCATTTTGTGTTGTTTTCAGTGGAGAAACTTCAGTATGTTTATAGGCTGAGAGAGGGATGGGCTGAAGATAAAGGACAGAGAAAAAGGACAGAGTAAAGTACCTGAATAGGCTGGACAGCTGGATTGGTGCAGAAGTGGAGGTGTCCTCCAGGAAGGAGAGGACCCCACCCCAGCCAAGGGGTGATATGTGGATACACGGGTGGTTAATGGGTCTGGTGGTAAGAGGGACAAGAGGGTGAGCTGAACATAGGAAGTGTTGATTATTTTACCTATCAAGCAGCAGATCAAGCCATTTGCTGATTTAAAAAAAAAAAGAGTACAGAGCAGCTTTGGGGAAGTCTGAGAAAATGTGAAATAGCCCAGATATGGTGGGGGAGAGGCAGCTGAGCAGGGCCCACTGGGTCCCTCAGAAGCCCCAGGACAGGAGCAGGGGAGCCCAGAGCTAGGCTGGCTTCAGATCCAGGATAAGATACAGCAGGAGAGGACAGGAACAGATGGGGGTGCAGGGGGGAGTGAGGTCAGGACAGGTTGACAGGCTGGCAGGGTCAAGAGGTAGAGGGACTGGAGGAGGCATGGAGGGTCTGAAAACAGAGGGGCCCCCATGGCCTTTCCCGCATTCCAATACCATGTGCTAAAAATACTGGATGAGCATAGGCCGGGTGTGGTGGCTCACGCCTGTAATCCCAGCACTTTGGGAGACCGAGGCAGGCCGATCATGAGGTCAGGAGTTTGAGACCTGCTTAGCCAACATGGTGAAACCCCGTCTCTAATAAGATACAAAAAATTAGCCAGGTGTGGTGGCACATGCCTGTAATCCCAGCTACTCGGCAGGCTGAGGCAGGAGAATCACTTGAACCCGGGAGGCAGAGCAGTGAGCTGAGATCACACCACTGCACTCCAGCCTGGGCAACAGGGTGAGACTCTGTCTCAAAAAAATAAAATAAATAAAATAAAATACTGGGTGAGTGAATGAACCCCACATGATTCCTTGTGTCAGGGTTGCCAACTGGCAACTCATGCACCTAATTCATCCAGCGCACAGATTTTGTTTAGATAACTTGGTTTTGAAGAACAGAAGTTTTCATCTCTCTTGAAAAATGAGCAGCTCAAGCAACACTGGCCTGCATTCCACCCTCCATGGCAACAGTCAGCTGGAGTGGCAGCAGCTCTACAGCCTTGCACAGATTGGCACTCTGCAGCCAGCCAAAGTCCCCACCGCCCTGAGTTGCCGCTCTCTTGGCCCCCGTAGCATGTGATCTACAACCCTTGCCCCGTGTCTCATGTGTATGGCTGGTTTTCCAGGGCCCGGATGGCTCCAGCCCCTCCTCTCCCTGATCAGTGAATGTGGCCCAGCCCATCCAACTCTCCCCCACAGCCAGGAGGCCAGCTCCAAGGGCAACACACCTGGAAGCTGCAACACGGATCAGTCCACTTCCCTTGTCCTGGCTGCAATAAATGGGGCCAAGGTCACACTAGCTTTTTTGGCAAAACTTCACCCTGGTGACTCACTGAGATTCCTATATATATATTTACAAAAAAAAAAAAAAAGCCCTCACTTCTTGGCACAGCCTGGCAACTAAAAATAACAACACCACAATATCCGATATAGGCTTACGCCTCACAAAGTTCTTTTACAAGTGCTACTGTCTTCAATCCTCACAACAAATCTGCACAGCAAGAATTTTTCTCCCACTCTATAAATGGGGAAACTGAGGCCGAGAGAGGCATCTTGAACTACCTGAAAGTGAGGACTTTACCCTGGCTGGGGGAGCATTAACAAGCCAGTCTTTAAAAGCTGGCAATATTTAAGCTAAGGTACAGAGCATAGAGGTTAAGGGTCAAGACTGTGATATTGGGCTGGGCACGGTGACTCATGCCTGTAATCCCAGCACTTTGGGAGGCCGAGGTGGGAGGATCACTTGAAGTCAGGAGTTCAAGACCAGCCTTGACAACTTGGTGAAACCTTGTCTTTCCTAAAAATACAAAAATTGGCTGGGCATGGTGGCATGCACCTGTAATTCCAGCTACTCCAGAGGCTGAGATGCAAGAATCGCTTGAACCCAGGAGGTAGAGGTTGCAGTGAGCCGAGATTGCACCACTGTGACAAAGCAAGACTGTATCTCAAAAAAACAAAAACAAAAACAAAAAAGACTGTGATATTAGACTGCACTGGATTTAATCTTGACTTAAAGTGTGACCTTGGGCAAAAGGCTTAGTCTCAAGGAGCCTCAGTTTTCCCATCTGTGAAACTGGGATAACAATAGTACCTACTTCACAGGGCTATTGCGAGGATTTGGGAAGATGCTGCACGTAAGGGGCTTAGCATCACAGAGCCCGGGATGCATTAGGTGCTCAATGAAAATCTCAGCAAAAGGAAGAGGAACACAGATGTGGGCAGGTATCAAGCATGTGGGCGGTGCCTATTTCCCTAACAGCTCTCAGAGGATGCACCCTCCTGCCTCCGAGGCTCCAAGGGTTAACAGCCCTCATGGGGCTGGAATGTCTTGTGGTAAGTGAATTACTTTGCCCTGGATTAAGGAGGGACAGGATCCAACTGCTGTCCTCACAGCTCAGGAGCCAAAGCAGGTGGGGAGGTAAGAGAGGAGTAGGGGAGGGCCAGAGACAGAGAGGAGACAGCAGCTAGAGCACCCGTCCTAATAACAAGGGACCAATACATGGGTACCACACTGGGTGCTGAGACTTGGCCTTCTTCACACAAGTCCTCCTGTTAACCAATAAGGAAGCTAAAGTTGTGGGCCGGGAGAGGTGACTCACGCCAGCAATCCCAGCACTTTGGGAGGCCGAGGCAGGAAGGTCACCTGAATTCGGGAGTTCGAGACCAGTCTGGCCAACATGGTGAAACCCCATCTCTACTAAAAATAGAAAAATTAGCTGAGCACAGTGGCACATGCCTGTAGTCCCAGCTACTCAAGAGGCTGAGGCAAGAGAGTCACTTGAGTATGGGAGGTGGGGGCTGCAGTGAGCTGAGATCGTACCACTGCACTCCATCCTAGGAGACAGAGTGAGACCCTGTCTCAAAAACAAGAAAGCTAAATTTGTGAACAGTTAAGATACTTGTGGATAGTCGCACAGCTAGAAGATAACAGAGCTAGGATTCAAACACAGCTCCAAAGCCCACGAAGGCCTAATTCTACACGATATAAGTGAGAAGTCAGGCTTTAAGCCAGGGAGAGACCTGCCCAAGGCAACTGGTCACTCAGTGGCAGGGTCAGGCTAAGAAACCTGGTGTTCCAATTTCCTCTCTCCCTTGAGCTCCATGGGCCCCACCACACACACGAACAGCCTCTGTCACCCCACCTTCCTCTAGCATGCACCTGGCTGCCTTTGCCTCCCTTCCCAGAGGCTGCCCCTTCTTTCTCTAGACCCTGGACCCTGCATAAGATGCAATAAACATGGCTACAGTCATGTTAAGGGCAGAGGCTCACTGGGGTAAGTGGCAGGGCTGAAGCAGGTGGAGAGGGAGCAACCTCACATCCCACCTGCAGTCTGGATTCTGTCCCAATCACACACTAAAGAAGAGCCCTTGTCAAGGTTACCAGCAACCTCCACATTGGCAAACCCTAAGGCCCCTTGCCAGTGCTCACCTTGCGTGGCCCATCTGCCGCTGCCCATGCCGCTGATGGCTTCTTCCTGGTGGAACCACTGCCCCCCTCTGTCATGCAGTCGGCTCTGGTTCTCCTCCCACCTCTCTGACCATTCCTTCTCAGGCTCCTTTGCGTGCCCCTCTTCATTCCTCAGGGCTCTGTCCTCAAACCATCCTTTTCTCTTTCTGTACACTCCTTCTAGACAGTGTTGACAACCACCACCTGTGTTGTGATGAACTTCAACTTTTTCCTTCCAGACCAAGCCTCTCCTGAGCTCCAGCCCCTTGCCTGTGTTTAACTATCTCCTGGATTTCCCTACAGGCATCTTGCCTCTCACCCTGTGCTGGGCCCCGTGCTCCAGAACAGCTCATCGGCGCTTTGCCCACATGTTCTTCTGGCAGAGTCTCCCCGATTCCATCTTCCACAGCCCTCTCAAACATGTGCTTTCTTCTCCAACCCCAGATCAGTCATCACCCTCTCTCTGTCCCAGATCAAAAACAGCCTCTTAACTGGTTCCTTCTTGCCAGCCTTGCCTGTCCTGCTTATGCTCCACACTGCACCCAAAATTACCTTTAAAATCCAAATCTGATCATGTCACTCCCCTGCTTGCCAGCCTTCAACATCGCCCATTGCCCTCTGGATTCATTATCAGAGCCTGATCATCAAGTTTCTCTTCAATCTCTCTCTCTTTTTTCTTTTTTTTTTTTTTTTTTTGAGACAGAGTTTTGCTCCTGTCACCCAGGCTGGAGTGCAATGGTGTGATCTCAGCTCACTGCAACCTCCACCTCCTGGGCTCAAGCGATTCTCCTGCCTCAGCCTCCTGAATAACTGAGGTTACAGGTGTCCGCCACCATGCCCAGCTAATTTTTGTATTTTTAGTAGAGACGGGGTTTCACCATGTTGGCCAGGCTGGTTTCGAACTCCTGACCTCAGGTGATCCACTTGCCTAAGCCTCCCAAAGTGCTGGAATTACAGGCATGAGCCACTGCACCTGGGCCTCTTCAATCTCTTTACTCTGGGTTTCCCTTCTCCCCATTTCCAGCCTTGCCCCGGATACCCCAGTGCATGGTTTCATTTGACCCCCACATATTATGAGCCCTTTCTGTCGAAAAAGACTTGATGAGAAAGCCCCCCCCCCCTTACTTTCCTCGCTGCTTCCCCAGGCTCCCAGCTCAGAGGCAAGGAATGGACAATGTGACCCATGGGGTCAGAATGGGGAGGGGGTCATGGAAGGCCCTGGCAGAGCCCACCCACTTCGTGCTGCCCGCCCACTCACCATCATGACATATGTGCTCATGAACTCGGCCAGGAACTCTCGCGCCATCTTCCTCTCATCTTCCTCGCATCATATTTCCTGGATCTTTGCTATCACGGACCAGGAGACCATTTTGGAGCCACGGGTGGACCTGATACAGTGGCCCGAGCTCATGGACAGAAAGGAGACTCAAGTCTGCCTGCTGCCCATCGGCTCTTCAACTCACAGCTGAGTTAATAGGTAACCCAGCAGACTTGCCACACACACCTCCTCTTGCCCGGGGCAGCTGGGACAGCTGGAATTGGAGACACTTGAGAGCCATGGGGACATGGAGAGGAACTGGGGTAGATGGCCAAGCCATGCCCCTTGTAGTTGGGACTGGACCAGTAAAAATGGCACACCAATGAGGCCACTTTGCAGACGGACAGGTGGGGAGCTGAAAGTGCAATCCACGGTGCCAACAAGCCTCTGGGAAAAAGTAGGGTGGGAGAGAGCAGGCTGGAAAGTAGAGCTCAGTAGTCTATGTCTGTCCATCTGTCTGTCTGCCTATCTGCTAGAGCCAGAACTTTGGGGTCACAGGCCAGGGCCTGGCAACAGTGAGGCACTCTACAAACAGCATGAAGTGTGACAAAGTCTGCTGCCGAGCTCTGTAAACAGCACTGAGCACTGAAACATGTGCCAGGTTCTGTCAAAAATGAAGGGGTCAGCAAAATGCACCAGGCTGTGCAACCAGGTCAGTACAAACAGAGGTTTGTGAGAGAGTGAGTGAATGAATGAATGAATGACCAAGAGAGCGGGAGGGAGAAAAGGAAGGACTGGATCTACTTCCTGGTGTATCTTCAGTGCCCAGCACCATGCCAGGCACATAGTAGATGTGCAATAAGTATTTGTTGAATGGGTGAAAACTGGGGAATCTGTCTTACTCCCAACTAGATCCTCAGAGCTTGCCAAAGGGCCTGGCACTTGATTTGTATTTAGTTAAGTGCACGGTTAGATGGAAAGGTAGATGAAACAGGTGAGTAACAGGTTCCAAATCTGCGTATAGGGAGAGGTATAGGACTGGAGTTTGGGGAAGGTGGCGGGGTGGGACTGGAGGATAAAGAGGAAGAAGAGGGGCTGGGCCCGGTAGCTCACGCCTATAATCCCAGCACTTTGGGAGGCCAAGGTGGGCAGATCACCTGAGGTCAGGAGTTCGAGACCAGCCTGACCAACATAGAGAAACCCTATCTCTACTAAAAAATACAAAATTAGCCAGGCATGGTGGCGCATGCCTGTAATCCCAGCTACTTCGGAGGCTGAGGCAGGAGAATCACTTGAACATGGGAGATGGAGGTTGTGGTGAGCCGAGATCTTGCCACTGCACTCCAGCCTGGGCAACAAGTGCGAGACTCCATCTCAAAAAAAAAAAAAAAAAAAAAAAAAAAAGAGGAAGAAGAGGGATACAGATACCTCTAAGTGTGGCCTTAGTCACTCTGCTATCTCACTGTCTGCATGCCCGGAAGCTGACACCAGCCCCTCAACTCCTCTGGCCAGCCCATCCTTGCATATCACGTACTGCCTTAGCTGCAGGCCTTTGCACATGCCAGTCCTACACCGAGAATGGTCCCCTGCCTCCCCAGAGCCTCCTTTACCCGCCAGCCTTCTTTTCTTGACCTAAATTTCCCTTTCTCTGGGAGAGCCTCCTACCCTCTCCTCTAGGCCATTCACTTCTTCCACATGCCCCACGGTGCCCACTCTTTCAGCTGGGGCAATGCTCATCACACTGCATAGTAATTGCTCAGTTAGGCCAGGCACAGTGTCTCACGCCTGTAATCCCAGCACTTGCTGAGGCGAGCTGATCGCTTGAGCCCAGGAGTTCAAGACCAGCCTGGGCAGTATGACAAAACCTCATCTCTACAAAAAAAAAAAAATACAAAAATTAGTCAGGTGTTGTGGTGTACGCCTGTGGTCCCAGCTAATGGGGAGGCTGATGTGAGAGGATTGCCTGAGCCCAGAAGGCAGAGGTTGCAGTGAGCTGAGATCACACCACTGCACTCCAGCGTGGGTGACAGAGCGACACCCTGTCTCAAAAAAGAAAAAAAAAAAAAGCTTAATTAATTAACGGTTTTTCTTCCTAAGGGCTGGGATCATACCAGTTTGCTTCACTGCAGTGCCTGAACATAGTAGGCATAGTAGATTCAAGAAATCTTTGGTTCCTTGGCTGGTTGTTGCCTGCTCTGTGCTGATGAGAAAGGAGCCAGGCTTCCAGGATTCCCTTGGTGTTCTTGGCTCCCTGCTCTGTCTACCTCTCCCCTGCCTCTATGGTACCTTCCCAGGACTGTCTTTGGGCTGCTGCTTGCATTGATAGGGTCTCTTCTTCAGGGCTGAGGAGGCTGGTCATGGGATAATGAGACCCCCATACGATGCTGCATGGGAGCTGGAGTTGGATGGGGGCCAGTGGAATATCCGCGCAACTCTGCATCCCCCTCCATCTACTCATCCCTGGTTTTGTTTCTCTGGAGTAAGGAATAGAGCAAGGACTGGGATGGGTGAGCCATGAACAGAGGGTCTCAGCTGAAAAGTGGAAGATGTTTTATTCCATGCCTGGACGTCTCTCATTCCCTCTGCTTACTTTTTGCTGCTGTGAGGTCAGGGGAATTTAGGAGCCCTGAGGAATGCTGCTGCTCTCCCTAGCAGGGCGAGGTGACCCTCCACTGGCTCCCATCCAACCCCACCTCCCATGCTGGAGGTAACCACAGAAGAGGAGAGAGAAGTGGACAGAGCGGAAAGACAAGAACACCAAGAGAATCCTGGAAGCCTGGCTCCTTCCTCATCACCACACAGCAGGCAAGACACAGTAAGCAACAGATAACCACCAACCAGCCAATGAACTCAAGATTTCTTGAATCTACTGTGCCTAGAATGTTCAGTCACTGCAGTAAAGGACACTGGTACAATCCAGCCTGTGGGAAGAAAAGCAATCAATTGAGCAATTACTATGCAGTGTGATGAGCATTGCCCCAGCTGAAAGAGTGGGCACTGTGGGGCATGTGGAGGAAGTGAATGGCCTAGAGGAGGGGGTAGGAGGCTCCCAGAGAAAGGGAAATTCAGGTCAAGAAAAGAAGGCTGGAGGGTAAAGGAGCCTCCAGGGAGGCAGGGATCACTCTGGGCGTAGGACTGGCATGTGCAAAGGCCTGCAGCTAAGGCAGTATCCAATGTGCAGGAATGGGCTGGCCACGGAGGAGTGGAGGTGGCATGAGATGGGCAGAGAGGGGCCAGGGCCAGGTGGCAGAAGGCCTCATGGCCCACATTAGGGAGTCTGAACTCTACCAGAGGGCCATGGGCCAAGTGGAGGGTTTCAGCAGGAGAGCTGCCTCCCCTGTGGAGGCCAGGATGGAGGAAGTGGAGTGGAGGCAGGGTGAGCATCAGCTTCTCCACAGATGGGTGGAGAAGTGGTGGCAGTCTGAGCCACAAGGATGGCAGTGCCAATGGCCACAAGAACACAGTCAAGCTGACAGGCTTGGTGTTCGGTTAGAGAGGGAAGGGAGCGGGCAGCTCAGCGATGCCCTCAGGTCCTGGCTAGGGCAGCGGAATGACTAGCGTGGGGCACAGCAGAGAAGCTGTGGAAGAATGGACAAGGAGGCCCTTTCTGGACATGTTGAGTGTGAGGAGCCTGCTAGACACTTGGGTGGGATGGCCAGTGAGGAGGCAGCTGGTCATGTGGTCTCACTTACAGACACATTTGGAGGACAGCAAATCACAGATGGTCATCTGAGCCATGGGCATAGATGAGAGAGCTCAAGGAGAGGGTACAGACTAAGAAGAGGGGCCCAAGAAAGCCAGCCTACAAAGCAAGAAACTGACAGCCAACCAGATCCCCTAAGTAATCTGTTAACCAAGGAACTAAATAGCTAACAACTCACTAACGCCTGTTTCTTTTCTTTTTCTTTTTCTTTTTTTTTTTTTGAGACAGGGTCTCACTCTGTCGCCCAGGCTGAAGTGCAGTGGCACAGTCACAGCTCACTGAAGCCTAGACTTCCCAGGGTTCAAGTGATCCTCCCACCTCAGCCTCCCAAGTAGTTGGGACTACAGGAGCATGCCACCATGACTGGCTATTTTTTCCTATTTTTTGTAGAGATGGGGTTTTGCCATGTTACCCAAGCTGGTCCCAAACTCCTGGACTCAAGCAATCCTCCAGCCTCAGCCTCCCAAGGTGCAGGGATTTCAGGCATGAGCCAACATGCCCGGTGGCTTATTAACCCTTTGACTAACCTATCAAAAACCAACTAACTGATTCTCCTGTTAACCAGCTATTAACTCATTGAATTATCTAATCAACCAGTCAACCATAAACTATCCAACTAACCACGAGCCAACAATTCAACCTGCTAACCAACATTTCTTCATTCAACAAACATTTGTTGGCCAGGCATGGTGACTCATGCCTGTAATCCCAACACTTCAGGAGGCCGAGGCAGGTGGATCACTTGAGGTCAGAAGTTCAAGACCAGCCTGGCCAACATGGCAGAACCCCATTTCCACTAAAAATAAAAAAAAAATTAGCTGGGCGTGGTGGCAGGCACCTGTAATCCCAGCTGGGGTGGGGGCTGAGATGTGAGAATCGCTTGAGCCCAAGAAGCAGAAGTTGCAGTGAGCCGAGATCATGCCACTGCACTCCAGCATGGGCAACAGAACAAGACTCCATCTCAAAAAAAGAAAAAATTTTTGTTGAGCACCTACTTATGAGTCAAGCACCAGGGATACAAAGTCAAAACCCACTCTCCACTCTTGGGTCACTCTGTTTAATAGAAGAGATGGGTAATGGCAACACCACCAGAGAGAAGCAGCCTGGGACTGGGGGAACTCAGGGGAGGCATGGGAGGTGAGGCCTGAAGGGAGTTTTGAAGAATGGGCGGGTGGTGGCCTGACATGGCCATGGGGGAGTAGGGTGGTGGTAGAAAGAATGGTGGAAGCTGTGCACATTCTAGATATTTTAGGAGATTGGTGACTGGATGTGAGGCATGGGGAAGAGGGAAGTATCAAGGACATGACCTTGACTTCTGGCTTGAGCAACTGAAGAGAAGGGGACCCCTGACTGAGCCAAGAGCACAGGAGGAGTGGACTTGTGGGGGGCGGAGGAGGCTGTTTCCATCTAGGAGCTGAGTTGCCTGTGAGACACCAGTGGGTCTCTAGAAACAGGATCTAAAGCCCTGGAAAGAGACGTAGGCTAGAGGCAATGATGTCAACAGAGGGGCACTATTCATTCTCTCCGTGCAAGTGTACAACAGGCAAATATCCCTGCTTGCGTGGAGCTGACAGCAATGAAATGTAATAAGTAAGTACATTTGTATAAGCGAAGGTACCAGCTCCTATGGGAAAAAACAGAGCAAGGAGAGGGGAATTGGGAGTGCAGGGGCTGGAGATGGGGTGTGATTTCAAATAGGGCAGTCAGAGTAATCCTTGTTGAGAAGGTGGCCTTGGAGCAAAGCCATGAAGGAGATGAGAGTGGGCTGTATGTTAACTGCAGAAAGCCTCTCAGATGGAGGGAATAGTCACCAGAGGACTCTCAGCATGTTTGAAGAAAGCAAAGAAAGTCAGTGTGAGGCCAGGTGCAGTGGCTCACACCTGTAATCCCAACCTTTTGGGAGGCCGAGGTGGGTGGATCACCTGAGGTCAGGAGTTCAAGAACAGCCTGGCGAACATGGCGAAACCCCATTTCTACTAAAAATACAAACAAACAAACAAACAAACAAACAACTAATTAGCTGGGCATGGTAGTGTGTGCCTGTAATCCTGTAATCCCAGCTACTCAGGAGGCTGAAGCAAGAGAATCGCTTGAACCCGGGAGAAGGAGGTTGCAGTGAACCAAGATCTTGCCATTGCACTCCAGCCTGGGCAACAGAACTGGATTCCATCTCAAAAAAAAAGAAAAGAAAAGAAAAAAAAAACCAGAAAAGAAACTCAGTGTGGCTGGAGGAGGGAGAGCAGGGGGCTGGAGTGGGGAGGCCAGAAAGCTAACAAGGACTACATAGGCAGGGCCTTGGCCATTGCAAGGACTGGCTCTTTTTCACCCCAAAGACAGCTGAGCCTGAGAGGGTGAGAGGTGCTGAGTGCAGTTGAGTTGAAGGCCACCTGCATGCCTTGACCCTCATCCAAGTATTTCTGAGCCTCCCCTCACCCCAGGACCCAGCCCAGGCAACAGGTGGAAGATGCTTTTCTTCTGGGACCTCAGAGGCGAGTGGGTGGGTGGGGAGGAGGAGGTCGAGGGGGGACAGCTGCCCCAAGGGAGAGGCTGAGGATGGAGCAGGGAGGGCACTGAAGTGGGCTGGGTGGAGGACAGGGGGTTGGAGGGTGAGAAGAGGGTGGGGGTACTTACCGCCTGTGCCCAGATGCTTGAACCATGTTTTGTCCTTCAGATTTGTAGATGCTGAGGAGCCAAAGAGAGGTCACTAGGGCTGGAGGACACAGAACTTGGCCCCACACTTCCATCAGATCTTTGTCCCCAGGGGAGAAGCCCTGGGGCAGCTCCTGCTAGTGCCACTCCCTTAACCCAGCCAAGGAACAGGGAGGGAGGAGCGGTGCTCAGCCAATGAGGCGACGCCCTGGAGCCCCACCCCACCCATGCTGGCCCCAGGACCCCAACCCCAGGCCAGACCCTCCAGTGCTCCTGCTGACCTTCCCTGTCTGCAGCCCAGCTTTGGACTGTGGAGATGCCCTCAGCCTCTACTCAGTGGCTCCAGCCTCATATTTGCGTGCTATACCTTTAACCTCAAGTTCTCTTGCTGCTAACTTAAGCTGTGACTGTCCAGGACCTGCACACACACATACATGCACGCATGCACACACACACACACACACACAGAAGGTGAACACACAGGATGAGGCCCTGAAAACTCATTTCACCCGTGTACCTCACCCAAAAATTCCCCTTTGTACTCCTATCTTTATCTCTAACTGACAGCATGAAGGTAGCCCGAAGTCCCCTCACCCTGTCTGTCCTCCTGATTCTCTAGCCCAGTTCCCTCTAGCTCCAGCACAGACTCTTATCTCCAGCCCTGACTGCTGAAACCCTCCAGCCCCAGCTCCAGCCCCTCAGGAGGGGACTGCGTGGGAGGAATGACTCCAGCAAGCCGGCAGCTGACCCGTCTCTGGCCTGCATGCCTCCCCCTGTGGTCCACTGCCGGTGGTCTTCAGCTCTCTCCTCGTCCCACCCCCATGGTCTGCTGACAGCCCAGCCCAGTGCATCCCTGCCATCTCTGCTCTACCGCTGGTCCTCCCAACAACCAACTTACAGGTAAGGAAACTGAGGCCCAGAGAGAAGGTGTATGTGCCTGTGTCACACAGCAACACAGGACTGCACCATAACAAGAAAGCCGGGACTTCCACTCCCAGCCGGGGCTCCTTCCCCAAACAATCCCTCAGTCACCTCCTCGCTGTATGGTACCCAGGGAATGGCCCTTCCAGATCTGGGCACTGAGGAGGCTGCCCCATCCCCACCCTGCCTGGAGCCCCACTCACTCTGCTGAAATGTCTTCTGATTCTCAGCCTCTGCCTTGGGGGCTTCTCAGTTAAAGCGCATCTTGATCTTGTTCCTCTGTGACTGTCCCTGGCTCAGCTTCCACCCCCAGCTGGGGCTCAGCTATCCCTGTGTCCCCAGTCCAGAGCCTGCCTCTCAGCCCTCCCAGGGCGGCCTTGAGCGCTGCTCCTGCTCCTCCAGGGGAGAGGTCAGTAAGGCAGGGATTTGGCTGGTGCCACTTGAACCAAGTCCAGATGCACTGCCCAAATTAACATCCCTCGTCTGGCCAGCAGTGCAGTGGAGACCGAGTTCTGAAGCAGGCCTTTGTGAGGTCAGAGGTGGAGTTCTGGGTGGGCACTCTGGGCCTCACAGTCCCAGAGGAAAGGCCTGTCCTCCAAGCCAATGTGCAGCCTGACTCTGGGGCCAGCGCCTGAGGAAGCCCTCCCTGAGCCCCAGCCCTGGGGAAGGCTGAAGAGGCCTCTGAGCTCCCAGCGCTGGGGAGCGCTGTGCAGAATAGGACTGGAGGTGAAAGTGTTGGAGATTAACAGCCAGATGGAGGGGACGGGGGGAGGCCCTGGGTCAGTCCTCAGGGAACCCCCATTCTGAAGGGGGAGAGGGAAACTCAGGCCCAGTCCTCAGGGGCCCCCAGTCTGAGAGGAAGGAGGACACATGAGCCATATTTGCAGAGAAACACCAGCCTGCGAGAGGAGGTAGAAGCCCAGGCCTGGCCCTCCGAGGGCCCCTAGTCTGAGGAGCAGTCCACCTGCCCTCGGGAAAACACCTCCCTTAGGAAAGGCCAGCAAGGCCCCCGTAAAGGAGCCACAGCTGGATCGGGGCATGGGGCTTGGGGCCCAGCGGCGTGGGAGCTCCGGGACCGAGGTGCAGTCAGGAGAGACCCTGGGGGCCAGTGGCAGTCCAAGAGGACTTTTGGAGCCAAGGCCTGACTGGGTCTCAAACAATGGGGCAGGCAGTTTGGGGTTTCAGCAGGTGGCCCGGTGCTGAGACACAAGGGAGTTGTTTCTGGTCTGCAGACACTGAGGACACTTGCTATGTGGTGTGGTGGATGGTGGGTAAGTCCTGGGAATTTCTGGCACCAGGTTCCCTGGGTGGGAAGGGGCATAGGATTCAGTTGTCCAAAGCTCAGGTGTGGGAATGGAACTGTCCTGTAGAGGGTGCCAAAGACCAGGTCTGGAAACTGCATAGCCCCAGTCCCCACCCCCACACACACCATCCCACCCCTTCCAGCTTTTTCTGCAGATCTTTCTGCAGGGGTGAGGCAGGGAGAGGAAGGGGTCGGCCGCAGTTCTGGGGCTTCCTAGTCAGAAGCCCTCTGTAAGGCACTAACTTCCCTCTTCCCTCTGCAGATTTTTTTTTTTTTTTTGAGACAGAGTCCTACTCCACCCAGGCTGGAGTGCAGTGGCACAATCTTGTCTCACCACAGTCTCTGCCTCCCAGTTCAAGTGATTCTCCTGCCTCAGCCTCCCAAGTAGCTCGGATTACAGGCATGCACCACCAAGCCCAGCTAGTTTTTTTGGATTTTTAGTAAAGACGGGGTGTCACCATATTGATCAGGCTGGTTTCGAACTCCTGACCTCAGGTAATCCACCCGCCTCGGCCTCCCAAAGTACTGGGATTATAGGTGTGAGCCACTGTGCCCGGCCTCCCTCTGCAGATTCTACATGGGCTCTAAGCAGCCTCTAAATTGCCTGAACACCTAAGGCTTATTTGCTAGTTGACATCTGATCTATTCTGACACTGAAAATTTCAGTGCTTTAGGGTGCTAAAAGGAAAAAAGAGGGTTTGCAAGGAATCCTGCAGTTGCTGAGGGGGTACCCTGATAAGGGAATTTTAAGCAATTACAGTAAGTGTCACTAAACTTTTTAAAAAATCTTTAACCAGATTAAACTTACACAATTTTGTTATAATTTGTGTTTCTGCAGCTTCCAATTGTGGACAAGATAAGGACCATTGCCCAGGCTGTCTATGGAGCCAAAGATATCGAACTCTGTCCTGAGGCACAAGTCAAAATAGATCGTTACACTCAGCAGGTAAAAGTTGTACTTTTAGGGGAAAAGAAAAAATTCACCTTAGGCTCTCAGAATACTCAGCTTGACTTGAGGATTTGTACATGTCTCACCAGCTAACCTTTGCTTAATCTATTTTCTGGTTAACAAAGATGAAAGCAATATCCTCGGGTAGAGTGTAAACTATATTTAGAACTTTATGGTGAGGCATGTATCCTCTGATCCATGCATCATTTACTTCTGTGACTATAAATGTGTCTGATATGGGTGGTATCCCTGTTTGTAGGTGATGTGTGATCTTTCATCCCTCCCACTCAGCCCAGAACGTTGAAACTATCCTTTGGAGTAGAGCTGCGGAGTCAGATTTGCATGAATTGCAATGCTTCCTCTTCCTTACAGGCCTCTTACTACCTTAAAAATGCTAGCAAGGTGCCAGGGTAGGCAGATAGGAGTGCAGCCTATAAAGATGGGAATGTTTGCTGTTCTTATGCAAGCGGTTCATTGGCTTTTTACTGAGCTGGTCCACTGAGGTTGAAGGCTCCATCATCTTCTACCTCTAGCCACTGAGAAAGGCAAGTAGGCAAACAGCTGGGAAGGTGGCTACGATCTGACAGCATGTGTCATCACCTAGTCCAGTGACAGTCATGATGAATCAACTCCATTATAGGAGGCTCAGCCACCTTTTACCAAAAGGATCATGTGCCTCCAGTGTCCCTCCTACTTTGGTGTAATCAGATAGATAGAAGTCAGAACATTTTAAGAGCCTGTTGGCTAAAGAGCTTCATGATTGGTAGTGTTGACCTTATCTTTAAAAACAATCTCCAACTCCTTATTCTTTTTTGTAAACCCATTTGAAATTTTGTTAAATGCTACCATTGCCAGCCAGGGTATTTGTTCTCCTAGGTTTGGTAAAATAGGAACTCAGAAAGTTCTAAATTCTTAGAATTTTCCCTGATGTTCTTGGCTTACCCTTTACAAAAAGGATTCCCAAGCACTGCTCTGTGCCTAGGCATTGTGGTGAAGTTTTCATTCATGTGCAATGAACCAAGTAAAATAAGGTCATTCTCATGAGGTTGCTTTGTTTTTTATTCCCCGAGTTTTTAATAATGATATTTAAGACTATCATTTATTGTAATATTAAGTCTTTTCTCCTTTCAGTGTTAAAATGTTATTTCTTTTATGAAGTAATCTGGTGACAGTATATAGCATACTGGTTGGTTTCTGTTTCTTTTTAATATGCCTACTAACAAAATTTTTACATTAGCAAACCTATAGAAATTACTTTAATATTTAACCATGTCTGAAATTCAAAATTCTGGCACCATTCTGAAAGGCAGTTGTGATTCTCACTCAGCAAAATTCTTATCAGTATAGAAGAGTGGAGATTTCAAAAAGAAAATGGCCCCAAGCCCAAGTCCTCCCTAAGTTGATAAGACTCTAAGATCTTCCAAATAGTTTTAGGCTAAGTCTTATGAAAATTTGACTAAAGATTTCATTCCCTTTATCTCTATCAAGGAAATACTCCTTAAAAGTCGTGTCAACCAGGCACGGTGCTCACACCTGTAATCCCAGCACTTTGTGGGGGCAAGGCAGAGGATCAGTTGAAGCCAGGAGTTGAGACCACTCTGAGCAACATAGCAAAACCTCCATCTCTATTTTTATTTTTTTTAAAGTTAGTGCCAAGTATGTGGTTGCAATGAATTAGCAAAGCCTCTAAAGGAACACTGTGTGCCATTTAATCAGAAACAGGCTTATAGGACACTGTGCTTTTTGTGAGACACCACATGTGACTTCCTGCTCTTTCACCTTTGGAACTCTGGGTCAGACATAGACTTTTGTCCTTAAAAACAAGAAGCTTAAATAGTGACCTCATCTTAGCTCTTGTAATGTAGTTGCAGATCAAATAACCATGATTCATAAACCAACACAAAGGAACCCTTTGCTTCTTGACTGACTCCAGAATGAGTGAACAACATGACTAAGAGCCTAGTCGCAGAGCCTTTCTCCAGACTACCTTGCTGGGTCCCGGATATTAATAGTCTTGGAAAGCGGTTTCTACAGCTGCTGCTTTGCCTGCAAATAGCAATGCTTTTCCCAAACATGCACATAACACTGTCTTCTCTTAACGAGAACCTCCAAAATAAACAATAGTCACCCCTGACCTACTAAACAGTCATCACATGGAGATGAGTTTTTATCCTCACCTTCTTGCTTCTTCAGTGAACAAGTAGTAACAAGCAGCTCCTGCGTGTGCCTCGATCTGAGCTGGCATACCATTGCTGCCGAGACTGTATAAAGTGCAAATTGAAAAACACAGGAGACTCACGTCTATATCAGTGAACACATTTTCTTTCCTTTCTTACAGGGTTTTGGAAATTTGCCCATCTGCATGGCAAAGACCGATCTTTCTCTGTCTCACCAACCTGACAAAAAAGGTGTGCCAAGGGACTTCATCTTACCTATCAGTGATGTCCGGGCCAGCATAGGTGCTGGGTTCATTTACCCTTTGGTCGGAACGGTGAGTGAGTCACATTTTCCAAAATCCCTCCCCATTCTGCATTGTCGCAGTGCCTCAAATCGTTATGCTCCACCCGCTCTTTAAAAATCATGGATTAGGGAGAATTGGGAGTAATTAATAGTACAGTATTCGCTATTTTTCTAAACACTCTGTCTCACCTACCTTTGCCATTGTGCTTTGGGTTTTTCTTTTTTTAGATCATGTGTTCAGGATCCTTAGAGTCATAATACTAATTTCCTTCCTAAGGCAAGTAAGAACATAACTTGGGAGAATTCAGTCTATTTAAATGGTAGAATGGCTTAGGACAGTGGTTGTCAACCTTTGTCACACATAGCACCCAAAATGATGTAATCAGTAGGGTTGAATGCTCACACCAGACAGGATCTGCCCAGTCACCCTAAGGGCTGGGGAAAGCAGTCCTCACCCTCTCACTTCCCCAGCACATCAGGTGGGAAGTTCTGGCTTAGGAAATTACTGAATCATATGAATTCTCATTTTTGATGTTGTTGTGATGGGATTACGTTGCTATTGGTTGATTATTCTGTTATTTTGTGTTATCTATGGAGGTAAAGGAGATGAGCAGAGATATAAAAGCTTATCAAAGTGCTTAAAATCCATGAAGATTGGCTTCATTTGGTATAGCTACACAGTGATAGCCTTCCGTTGGTACCATCAGTGGCCTAAATTTGATTTCTTGTCTTTGGGAGTGCTCCTGAATTTGGTTTAGAATAAAAAAGAATTCTTAAAACCTGGCAGATCCCATGGCAAGAAAAGAAAAAAAATTCTAACCCATCATTATCATCATCATTAGTGCAAAGTGATCTGAGCTTAAACAGCATACATTATAATAATTTTTTATAATAAACCATGTGGCTCTATTGTGCAAACAAGCAATAGACAGACAAAAAGTGCAGATTCTTGCCTTGATATTTACATGCTTCATCTAATATTGGACACAATGTTTTTTCAATCAGCATCATTTGAATTCTTCCTGCATGTGAGGCACAGAGATTTTAAGATGAGCAGGTGTGAGATGCATGGATTTGAATAGCATAGAGGTATCTGGAGAGCATTGTGTTGGTATTCTGAATACCCTCAGATCCCAGGGGGATAACAGCTCATTATGCCTGGGGTAGAACTTACCTGGGCTGTGGAAGAAGAGGGGATTCTTCAAAAAGGGCTCAACCTCTGAACTGGCAAAACAGTGAGTTTTGACTCAAAGGCACCAGAGTACTAATACATGACATCCTCTCCTGGGGTGATCCAATGTGGCTGGAGTTGGATGAGGTGGGGAGGCTGGGGATGGGAATGGGAATGGGATTGGGATAGCAGGACGGGGTCACATGGCCAAGGATCTTGAAGACCATCTCACGGAACTTGAATCTGATCTCTACACACTGAGGAGCCACGGTAGGGTGGGTTTTTTGTTTGTTTCTTGGTTTTTTATTTTTTTGATTTTTTGTTTTTAAAGAAGGAGGAGAAGAATGTGGTCTGATGTGTATTTTAGAAAAATAGCTCTGGCAGCAATGTGGAGAATGTTTAGTGAAAAGAGAACCAGGCCCAGAGAGGTGGGTTAATTCAGCTGGGGCCAGAGGAAATCAAGGTCCGCACTTTGGCCACAGAAGTAGATACAGAGAGTGGGGGGTGAATTGCAGACATACTCTAAAAGTATCCTCCTACAGTAGGGGCCGGGTGAAGGGACTGTTCTAGCTTGGTGACTGGCTGGTGATGCCATCACCGTGTCATGGAAAGGACATGGGAGGAGGCAGATTGGCCAAGCCAGAAATGAGCCTGGCTTGAAGAGAGAGAGCTCAGAGGGTTAATAGGATCTAAGGAACAGTCTGTGTCTCCACTGGAAATACAGATACAGCTCTCCAAAGAAAGGGGCAGGAAGGTCGCCCTGGTGGGTTTAAGGATATGGGTGAAGGCACTCATTAAACAAGAGACACAGGGATAGCTGGAAATCAGTGAGAAGAGAGTAAAGGAAGACACCCCTGAAACACCCACTTTAATGCAGCCGACTCCTGGCAGGGGTGCCTTCCAGAAGGCAGGAAGGAAGGAGCAGGGGCATGGCAGAGAACGTCCAGAAAAATCCCACAGACACCGCTCACAGCAATGTTGACACAGAGAGAAGGGTCCAGATGAAATGGGTTCTGAATGACATTTTCAGGTCTACAGTTCAGATCAGCAGTTGCCAGGAGCTGGGGGAGGGAAGTGTTTGACTGCAGAGGGGCAGGAGGGAACTTTTTGGGATAATGGAAATATCCTATGTTTTGACATGGTAGTGATTCCATGGCTATATACATTCTTCCAGACTCATAGACCTATACACGTGTGTTGCCCAGGCTGGACTCAAACTCCTGATCTCAAGCAATCCTCCCACCTCAGCTTCCCAAGTTGCTGTGACTATAGGTTCGTGCCACTGTGCTGGGCCTGTGTATCATTTAGTTATACCTCAGTTAACAAAAATGGGTACTGAAGAGCTTGCTGTATATTCCTTAGAATGGCCTCAGTCAGCCGGGTGCAGTGGCTCATGCCTGTAATCCCAGCACTTTGGGAGGCCAAGGTGGGGGGATCACAAGGTCAGGAGTTTGAGACCTGCCTGGCCAAAAGGGTGAAACCCCATCTCTACTAAAAATACAAAAATTTGCTGGGCATGGTGGCGGGCACCTATAATCCCAGCTACTTGGGAGGCTGAGGCAGGAGAATTGCTTGAACCTGGGAGGCAGAGGTTGCAGTAAGCCAAGACTGCACCATTGTGCTTCAGCCCGGGTGACAGAGCAAGACTCCATCTCTAAATACATACATACATACATACATAGAATGGCCTCAGTGATGGCCACTTTACTCCTGAGCTTTAGTTGGCAAAGGCCTTGGCTTAGGGATAAGAGGGTGGCTGGACAGTGCAGGCCCAGAGAGACTGGACCATCAGGGGAAGTGAGGGGTGATGGAGGTGCCCAAACAGAGCATGAAATGGTAGAGTAGATGAGAAGGTTAGCCTCGATCACGATCTGTCCTGTCCTACCCTCTGCGGACTCTAAACCCCGCAGCAGTTCACCCAACAAATTCATGCACTCGGCCAATGCTGCATAAGGCACTCAGCTCGGGGCTACAGGAAGCCCCAACCTAAAGAAACTTTCTCTGCTTCAGGTAGTTTACAGCTGGTAGAAGCAGATAGAAGTGAATTAGCAAAGAAAATAGTTTGATATAAAAATTGTGCATTTAACTGCAACCTTAATTCACTTCTGAGCATTTAATAGCCATTAAACAAAAACCAGGGCCCACACAGTGGTTCACACTTACAATCCAAACACTTTTGGAAGCCAAGGTAGAAGGATTGCTTCAGGCCAGGAGTTCAAGACCAGCCTGGGCAACATAGCCAGACTGTATCTCTACTTAAACCAAAATTAGCCAGGAGTCATGGTACACACCTGGAGTCCCAGCTACTCAAGAGGCTGAAATGGGAGGATTACTTGAGCCCAGGAGTTTGAGGCTACACTGACCTATGATCATATCATTGCACTCCAGCCTGGGAGATAGAGTGAGACCTCTGTCTCTAAAAAAATGGAATAAAATAATAAAAAACACAATATAATTTAAAATCTTTGGAGTCACTAAACAAATATACAATGTGAATCTCCTCCCACTCCAGCTAACACTACCATATCCAACACCAGGTAAAGACCAAAGCCGTTCTGGGAAATCAGAATCTGTTGCCATGGCTCATGCCTGGACACCAGGCTGTCCGCTCCTGATGTCACTCTTTGACTTATGACTTGTTAGAAAATGAATGCGTGGAATGGCCCTGGAGGAGCCGCTGCAGCTCTCTGGGTTTCCTGAAGTGAGCCCTCTGTGTCATTATCTGGTCTTCTCAGCCCTCAGCCGAGTTCCTCCTGTGGCCACATGTGGGGTCGCAGTGAGCATCAGTGCACAGTGATAAAATCTGGAACAATAGGGTGTTGGGTGTGAGGGAAGGGAGTGGTGCCTGACTACAGAAGTTCCTGGAGGTCAGGAAACTCTCACTGGAGGCAGTGGACCTAGAGGGCTGCTTTCTATGACAGAGCAGGAAGCTGCATGTGTACTGGGACACATGCAGCAGAGGGGCCAGGATCTCCTAATAAGGACTGGTATTTACTTTTACTTGAACCCATTCTGGGCCTTACCACAGTGTGCTGAAATGCCTTGAACATTCATCACCCATGTGGGAGAAAGGATAGTAATTTCCTGCTGAGATGACTGAGGGGACAGGGAATGGGGACACCAGGGGGACTGGCTCCTGCAGGTTGGAAAATTCTAGCAAAACGAATCACTCTTCTGCTTAGTCACCCAATGTGCGCTTATTAGAGTGCTGCTGAAAAACATATTCGTCTATCCACTCCAGAAAGATAGTCCAAACTGAGACCTCAAGATCAGAAAGGCTCCCAATCTCCTGCAGGGTTCATTCATTTACTCAGTGAATTATTAAATGCCTACAGCACGCAGGGCCATCAGCCCAACGGCTATGAGAAAGAGATTCAGTCCTTTCCTCACAGGCCTTATGATAGACTCCAGTAAATAAAACAATACAGGCACAGAATGTGGCAGGCTTTATAAGAAAGCCTCTCTTGTTGTGTCCTCAAGGGAAGCAGAGAATCTCCCCTCTGGCTCTAGTTGGAGAATCCCAACCCAAGCAAGTCCATCTTTGAACAATAAACATCTCCAGTACTGCTGGCTTTGGAAGACCCCATGGTGAGATGCTGGAGCTTTTTTCCGCTCCTGATTTCACTTTCTAAATATTTACTTTTACTTTCCATGTTCACTTGTAGGCCAGATTTTTTTTTCCTACCATTGAATTATTTCATCATGTTCTATTTAATTACTGTCTTAATTGGCATTGGTGACCACAAATAATAATAAATACTATTAACTGATGTAACAGCTTCACTAGTCTATTTAACTTCCCCATGCTGTTGTAACTGAAGCACCCAGCACAAGCATTCCCAGCTCGTGGACGTCTAAGACCTTTGAGGTCATTCTTACATGCATTGCTAGTGTTTTCCATATTCCTTGATGGTAACCAATTTTTCCTTCCTAAAATAACTTTCTTCATTCCTAGTAAGCTTCATATGTATTTTGTGTATTCTTCTCTCTTTTTTATGACATTATACATATTATTGAAAGCTAGAAAATAATACAAGATGCTTGACTGACATAATACCACTTAGTACATCTTTTTGTAAGAAATAGATTTTCTAATACAAATCTTTGATATAGGAAGAAATGAGCAAGTGTTTTTTAAGGTTTTCCAACCCTATATTCTACTACAAATTACCCTGTTATCGTATGCTTCCAAAATTCTTTCAAGGATTACAGTTTATAGTGTTCAATAAACCTAATAGTTTATAAAACTTCTCAAAAAATAATCTCATGCCAAAAATAATTTAGTAGTAGGTGGTCTTTGTCTTGTGGTCACATTGTTTTGATATTGTCTTTAAGTTTCTGTAATTTACAAGGGCTGTTTAATCAGTTGGCATAAATTTCATGACAAAAATGCTAATATGTAAGCAAAGTATATGAAATGATATTTTTGAGAAGTAAATTACATTCCATATAGAAAAAGACTAGAAAGACTACACCAAAACCTTAAATTAGACAGTGATATTATGAGTAGCTTTTTTTCTTCTCTTTTTTGTATAGATCAAATTACTACGTTGGGTGTATATCACTTTTATAACATGAAAATACAGTAAATAGGGCGATGATAAACTGCAAGTGCTTGGGGAGAAGGCTTAACTCAGGCCAGTTGCAAGAGAGTGAGAACACACACGCAGCCTGTGGGAGCGGGCTCCGTGCCATCACCTGGCCGGTCCTGGCTGTGTTGCTGTGTTTTCGCACCTCAAAAGTTGGGACAGCAAGGAAAGGCCATAAGAGCTAGAATGTTTCTATAAGAAGTGTATTCAGTATGATTTGTCTAGCTCTGACTAATGTGTGCAAACCCCAGATTCAACTAAGCAAATGCAAGATTGTTTTTCCCTGTTAATTTTTTCCTGGGCCCTTCTTGCTTACTGTGTTGGGCATTGGAGAGGGGGTGATTGACTTCTTTCTTCTCACAGTGTTTTCTCTCGCTCTTTTTTTTTTTTTTTTTTTTTTTTTGAGACAGAGTATTGCTCTGTCACCCAGGCTGGAGTGCAGTAGCATGATCTCGGCTCACTGCAACCTCCGCCTTCCAGGTTCAAGTGATACTCCTACCTCAGCCTCCCAAGTAGCGTGGACTACAAGTGCATGCCACCACATCTGGCTCAATTTTTATATTTTTCATAGAGACTGGGGTCTCACCATATTGGCCGGGCTGTTCTCAAACTCCTGACCTCAAGTAAGCCACCACGCCCAGCCATCTCTCACAGTGTTTTTTAAAACAACAATGCATTTTCACAACAGTTGGCCTGGAGAGGTGTCCAACCAAGTTGGAATTCATAGCAGATATCCATTTGAAGTTAATTTTTGGTGTATTTGACTGTTTTCCATTGACTTCACATTGAGGCAGTGAGAGAGACTTGAAGAACTTAGAATATGAACCCTTTTCTCACTGGCAAACATGGGACATAGAGGCATGTCTTGACAGCAATTTATGGCAACACTCTGGGCTGGAATCTAGGGGTTAGGCAGCCTGGCCGGTTTTGTAAATTAGTCAGGCCACCCTCAGAGACAGTTTGAGGGTTTAGTGGGAAGCCTGAATAAAAAGAGAAGTTAAACTTTTAAGAAAAGGGTCAAGCTTTAAAACTGGAATTGGCTTTTCAAATTTAATGAGTAAAAAGAAACCCCAAAACTGGAATTGTAATTGTGGAGAAGTACAAATTATAATATTTGGAATATCATCTACAAGGAATGAAACTATCCAGAAGCATTTAGATGGTAGTCATTGATTGTAGGGCATCTCTGGGGGCAGGGTGGCTCCTGGCACTGTAGAGAAAGACCATCGGTGCTTCCGTCTCCCAGTTGGAGGAAAGGGATACACTGTGGAGGTCCCAGCAGCTTAGGGCCTGCCCCCATGTGGTTATGTCTGCATGGTTTCCTTCCCTCTGTCTTCCTGTAACTCTTTCACCCTGGCCCCTGTGCCCTTTCTGGGCAGAGGGTGACAGGAGGCACTGCATGGGTGCATTCTTTTTTTTTTTTTTTTTTTTTTGAGACAGAGTCTTACTCTGTTGCCTGGGCTGGAGTGCAGTGGTGTGATCTCGGCTCACTGCAACCTCCATCTCCCAGGTTCAAGCGATTCTCCTGCCTCAGCTTCCCGAGTAGCTGGGATTACAGGTGGCCACCACTACGCCCAGCTAATTTTTTCCAATTTTAGTAGAGACAGGGTTTCACCACATTGTTCAGGCTGGTCTCAAACTCCTGACCTCGTGATTCACCCGCCTCAACCTCCCAACGTGCTGGGATTACAGGTGTGAGCCACCGCCCCCGGCCAAGTACATGCTTTTTTTCCTCTTGTTGGGATTGGCCTGGGCTATACCTATCTCATGGTGGAAGCCTGCCTAGGGACCAGGCCCTAGAAGACCAGCAGTTTATTTAACTGGGTTGGCCTTTGTCCCCACTCCCTGTGACCCGGCCCTGCCATATCTTTACCCAGGTGCACCACTGACATCATGGCTCGGCTGGACTCTGGAAAGCAGGAAATTGCTGGAGTATGTTTGGGCATCAATGATGTCACCCGCTACGAATGCCGGGTGGGGTTACTGGACTGAGGGCCATGAAGAAAGAAAGCTGCGGCCCTGCCCCGTGGACTCACTGCCATTCTGTTCTTTCTCACGTTTCAGTTCAGCTCACTTTGTTTTCCGTCCCCCTCCCTCTACTGTAAAAGTATGTACTCATTGTTTCATTTCCTGCTGGATCTGATTCAGGTCAGTGATGAAGTTCTTTGCGAGCTCAGTGGGGAGGCGTTTCCTCCCTTTCATACCGGCCCTGCTTAGGGATGCATGGTTGGTTATATACTTGCTTCACTCGGTTAGGCATGGAGGAGAATTCATTCAGACCTCATAGGTTTAAATCAAATGCATGACCCTTCACATTTTCCAGAGATTTAGACAGTTACAGTGAGACAATTAAACATTCACCCCCCAAGCTGCACTTGGAGATGTGTAAGCAGTAATGTAGTCATGCGCTCCCCATGATATGAGAGTGTGCAGAATGCCACTCCCCACAGCAGGTCCACCAGGACCTCCTCAGGGAGCATCTTGCCTACAAAATCACCCATCCCTTTTCCCCCACTTTCTTCACTTTCCCTACGTTTCCACTCCCACACCCACAAATAAACAAAGAAACTTTGAGCTTATTTTACAAAAGTCTTTGAAATGGCCCTCCTCTCTCCGATGCTCCTGGGCCCTGGTTTGGCCCCAACTGTGCAGTCTCTCTGATGAGTGTGAAATAAGCCAGGTTTGGCTCATGCTCTCCCTGTGAGCTTGCTCTCCCCGTGAGCCTGCCCTCTCCATCTGGCCTCACTTTGTTTGTGTCCCTGGGTCCTTTGTCTCTGATCCTGGGATCCTGGTGGTTTCCTCCTCCCCGTCCAGCTTGGGTCCTTTTCCCCAGGGTTCTTCCCTATCTCTACATCAGAATTTCCTGCTTTCTCCCAAATATGCATTTCCCTGGCCCAGGCATCCATTGCTTCCTCTCATCGTGAGGTCCCTGCAGCAGACTGCCAATGGTGTTGTGGCCATGCCTTCCTCCACAACCCAGGGAAAGCTACATGTGTGTCTGTCCCATAGGGAAGGAGTCATCCCTGTCTCTTCAGTGTGGCATGTTCAGGAGGAAGGAAAGTAACCAGCGTCATTCTCAATTTCCGGAAACTGTTTATCATATTGACAAGAAGAAGAAAGCTTTGCGACTCATGAGAATGATGTTTTCCTCTCTGGTACATAAGGTTATGTAGGTCCAATCCATTGTGTAGAAGATCTTTTCTCCCTTAATGGGATGTACACTTATTTTTAGCAAAAGTATAAAACTACTTTAAATGAAGTCAGCCTCAGCCAGGGAAATATGCTGAGTAATAATGTTGCCAGGTACTATACCACTGAGTTGAGTTTGCAATTCACTGCTATTAATCCCTGCATGTTAGTTCTGAATTTTTACTCTTTGCATACGTAGAAAAAATGGTGTTTCTCTTCAGAGTCAAGGAGGGAAAAAAGAAAAGTTAAAAGACACTTATAACACTTTTGTGTCCACCCCTAAAATCAGCATATTGATCTACTATTTTTCTAGGTATTGATGGAATATTGACTCATATACTTTCATACAACTGCTAATATATATATATATATAGACTCATTTTTCTTCTTCCACTTTCATCTACAGCCTATTTGTTTTTCTCCCCCCATTTTTCGTTTGGATTCATAGCATAAATTGACAACAAAGATACATCTCAATTTAGAGCTTCCAAAAGGCACCCATAAAAGTATCTGGTGCTCATGGAATTTCTCTTTCTTCTGTGTCTCTTAGTTACACTTTTCTCTTATTACACTTTTCTATCCAGCCGTGGCTAAGAGGCATATAATCAGAAGCAGCTAAGCAATGTATGCAAGGGAAATAAAATGAACACAAACCAAGATAACCGGTTTTGTAAATTAGATAGCAAGGCCACCCTCAGAGTCAGTTTGAGGGTTTCGTGGGAAGCCTAAGAAATATAACTGATATAACTGATATATTATCAGTTATAAAAAAAGTTATAAGAAAAGGGTCAAGCTTTAAAACTGGAATTGGCTTTTCAAATTTAATGAGCAAAAAGAAACCCCAAAACTGGAATTGTAATTGTGGAGAAATAGAACTGATAATATCTGGAACTTGCAGCAGTTTACAGGCTTAACTATGTATGTGTTCCTTAAATTATCCACCCGCAGATATCAGATTACAATAAGTCCTCACTTAATGTCATTGATAGGTTCTTGGAAACTACCACTTTAAGCAAAAGGACATAATGCATACGAAACCAGTTTTCCCATAGTCTAATTGATAGGAAAAAGAGTTGAGTTATGAAGCCACACAGTACCTCGTTTGGCTTAAAGTCACTGTTTCCAAGAACATATCCACAATGTTAAGTAAGGACTTACTGTAAATGAAAATATTTGCAGTAAATCGCTTTTGAGAGAATTGGTTATCACACTCTTCTCTGGGTATCACTGAAAATTCAGAATGTTTAGTTACATCAGGCTATACTCACTGGTATGAAATCAGGGAGCAAGTATAAAGTAGGTGTAGGGAAATAATTTATGTTGGATTAAATGATCCAATGAAGGAATTTTATTAAGCCCCTAGAAATCCCAGAATGAAAATGTATAACTGCATGACTAACCCCTGTAAGAATTTGCTGGGGTTTCTGCATTATGTACGCTTCCCAGGCCATTTGTAATGAAGCTACCGTGATCTGTTAAGGAAGAGACCTACACCTGGGAACATAAACAGCCAATTCCATCCTGGACATCAGTCTCCTGTTTGACTCATTCCAACCCCAAGAATATGTTGTAGAGTGTAGGACCCATGAAAGTTACCTACAGTGCTTCCCTGTACCTTCCATCATCCAGTTCCCAAACATACCTGTGTTTCTTCTCTGAATGCATAGTTACTTGGGATCCCATGTTGTATTAGTCTGTTCTCACACTGCTGTAAAGAACTACTTGAGAGTGGATAGTTTATAAAGAAACAAGGTTTAATTGACTCAGTTTTGCAGGCTATACAAGAGGCATGGCTGGGGAGGCCTCAGGAAACTTACAATCATGGGGAAGGCAAAGGGGAAGCAAGTACATATTCACATGGCGGCAGGAGAGAGAGTGAAGGGGCAGTGCCACACACTTTTAAACAACCAGATCTCAGAACTCACTAGCACGAGAACAACAAGGGGGAAATTCACCCCCATGATCCAGTCACCTCCCACCAGGCCCCTCCTCCAACACTGAAGCTCATAATTCATCATGAGATTTGGCTGGGGACACAGCGCCAAACCATATCATATGCCTTTCCCAGGACTGGTGTTGGAGGAACAGTGCCTTTGTCACACCTACCAGAATATACTCACCCACTTCCAGACACTCCATTTCTCTTTCAAGCACACCTCCTCACTTGTGCTGCCAGCTAAGGTTTACTGCAGTTACTTCCTTTGTGTGTCCTCTTACCTTACCAAGTCGCCTCACCCACCACCTACTGTTAATTAAATTACCACCTCCCCCACTTCCCCACCTCCAGAGTAGAGACTGTCTCTTCAGTTCTCTTGGCCTTCCCACAATGGGAAGTCTGGTGTGGAACATACCCTAGGAGCCAACTAAATGTGGTAGTGGCCTGCCAACCCTGCAGAGGGCTAGCAAATCTTCAGGGAGTCTGCTGCCGGTGGAAACTCACCAGTACTAGAATCCCAGGCTCCAAAGAAGTCTAGAAAAGTACGTCTTTTAAGGAGCTAATAAGAGGTTCAAGTTTCCACAAATCCTATCTGCTCTTGGCCTAGTTCTTTTGGGATCAGTGTGCTAGTCTCTCTTGTCAAACTAGTTACTGACCAGCAAGACTAAAAAACCAGGCCCAAACACATTCTATTCATGTGCTTAGATATAGACCTATGGATCAAATATCCCACTGTAAAGCAAAAAAGCAAACTGTTTTTCCCTTGTACTCTCACACTCAACAATAGCACACTTCTGTGGCTGGCTGTGTGGGGGCTTTTCCTTACACACCAAACATTTCTCACAGAGACCAACTGGGTGTCCTCTTATTCAATTCAATCCTGACACTGTCTACCTGCAGATAGTGTCCAATCCCACAGATTGACGGCTCGATCCCATGAGACCAGCCCCACTTCAGGCACTAATTCCAAGTCCAGGCAACGCATACTTCTGACTACCTGGCTAAAAACTACATCCACGGCCGGTCATGGTGGTTCACGCCTGTAATCCCAGCACTTTGGGAGACCAAGGCGGGTGGATCACTTGAGATCAGGGGTTTGAGACCAGCCTGGCCAACATGGTGAAACCCCGTCTCTATTAAAAATACAAAAATTAAACTGGGCACGGTGGCTCACACCAGTAATCCCAGCACTTTGGGAGGCCGGGGCAGGCGGATCACGAGGTCAGATCAAGACCATCCTGGCTAACACGGTGAAACCCCATCTCTACTAAAAATACAAATAAAAATTAGCCAGGCATGGTGGCGGACGCCTGTAGTCCCAGCTACTTGGAAGGCTGAGGCAGGAGAACGGCCTGAACCCATGAGGTGGAGCTTGCAGTGAGCAGAGATCATGTCACTGCACTCCAGCCTGGGTGAGAGAGCGATGCTCCATCTCAAAAAAATAAATAAATGAAATAAAATACAAAAATTAGCTGGGTGTGGTGGCGGGCTCCTATAAGCCCAGCTACCAGGGAGGCTAAGGCAGGAGAATCGCTTGAACCCGGGAGGCAGAGGTTGCAGTGAGTTGAGATCCTGCAACTGCACTCCAGCCTGGGAGACAGAATGAGACCCCATCTCAAAAAAAAAAAAAAAAAAAAAAAAAAAAGGGTTCGCATGAGCCCCCTCCCTGGGTTCAATTAAGTTCCTAGGATGGCTCACAGAACTCAGAGAAACATTTACAGAGCTGTTATGATATATATTGATTTTCATTGATGAACATTGATGCAAAAATCCTCAATAAAATACTGGCAAAACGAATCCAGCAGCACATCAAAAAGCTTATCCACCATGATCAAGTGGGCTTCATCCCTGGGATTCAAGGCTGGTTCAATATATGCAAATCAATAAATGTAATCCAGCATATAAACAGAACCAAAGACAAAAACCACATGATTATCTCAATGGATGCAGAAAAGGCCTTTGACAAAATTCAACAACCTTCATGCTAAAAACTCTCAATAAGTTAGGTATTGATGGGACATATTTCAAAATAATAAGAGCTATCTATGACAAACCCACAGCCAATATCATACTGAATGGGCAAAAACTGGAAGCATTCCCTTTGAAAACTGGCACAAGACAGGGATGTCCTCTCTTACCACTCTTATTCAACACAGTAATGGAAGTTCTGGCCAGGGCAATCAGGCAGGAGAAGGAAATAAAGGGTATTCAATTAGGAAAAGAGGAAGTCAAATTGTCCCTGTTTGCAGAAGACATGATTGTATATCTAGAAAATCCCATTGTCTCAGCCCAAAATCTCCTTAAGCTGATGAGCAACTTCAGCAAAGTCTCAGGATACAAAATCAATGTACAAAAATCACAAGCATTCTTATACACCAACAACAAACAAACAGAGAGCCAAATCATGAGTGAATTCCCATTCACAATTGCTTCAAAGAGAATAAAATACCTAGGAATCCAACTTACAAGGGATGTGAAGGACCTCTTCAAGCAGAACTGCAAACCACTGCTCAAGGAAATAAAAGAGGATACAAACAAATGGAAGAACATTCCATGCTCATTGGTAGGAAGAATCAATCTCATGAAAAAGGCCATACTGTCCAAGGTAATTTACACATTCAATGCCATACCCATCAAGCTACCAATGACTTTCTTCACAGAATTGGAAAAAACTACTTTAAAGTTCATATGGAACCAAAAAAGAGCCCACATCACCAAGTCAATCCTAAGCCAAAACAACAACGCTGGAGGCATCACACTACCTGACTTCAAACTATACTACAAGGCTACAGTAACCAAAACAGCATGGTACTGGTACCAAAACAGATATATAGATCAATGGAACAGAACAGAGCCCTCAGAAATAACACCACATATCTACAACTATCTGATCTTTGACAAACCTGAGAAAAACAAGCAATGGGGAAAGGATTCCCTATTTAATAAATGGTGCTGGGAAAACTGGCTAGCCATATGTAGAAAGCTGAAACTGGATCCCTTCCTTACACCTTATACAAAAATCAATTCAAGATGGATTAAAGACTTAAAAGTTCAACCTAAAACCATAAAAACCCTAGAAGAAAACCTAGGCATTACCATTCAGGACATAGGCATGGGCAAGGACTTCATGTCTAAAACACCAAAAGCAATGGCAACAAAAGACAAAATTGACAAATGGGATCTAATTAAAGTAAAGAGCTTCTGCACAGCAAAAGAAACTACCATCAGAGTGAACAGGCAACCTACAAAATGGGAGAAAATTTTCACAACCTACTCATCTGACAAAGGACTAATATCTAGAATCTACAATGAACTCAAACAAATTGACAAGAAAAAAACAAACAACCCCATCAAAAAGTGGGCGAAGGACATGAACGGACACTTCTCAAAAGAAGACATTTATGCAGCCAAAAAACACATGAAAAAATGCTCACCATCACTGGCCATCAGATAAATGCAAATCAAAACCACAATGAGATACCATCTCACACCAGTTAGAATGGCAATCATTAAAAAGTCAGGAAACAACAGGTACTGGAGAGGATGTGGAGAAATAGGAACACTTTTACACTGTTGGTGGGACTGTAAACTAGTTCAACCACTGTGGAAGTCAGTGTGGCAATTCCTCAGGGATCTAGAACTAGAAATACCATTTGACCCAGCCATCCCATTACTGGCTATATGCCCAAAGGACTATAAATCATGCTGCTATAAAGACACATGCATACGTATGTTTATTGTGGCATTATTCACAATAGCAAAGACTTGGAACCAACCCAAATGTCCAACAATGATAGACTGGATTAAGAAAATGTGGCACATATACACCATGGAATACTATGCAGCCATAAAAAATGATGAGTTCATGTCCTTTGTAGGGACATGGATGAAATTGGAAATCATCATTCTCAGCAAACTATCGCAAGAACAAAAAACCAAACACCGCATATTCTCACTCATAGGTGGGAATTGAACAATGAGAACACATGGACACAGGAAGGGGAACATCACACTCTGGGGACTGTTGTGGGGTGGGGGGAGGGGGGAGGGATAGCATTGGGAGATATTCCTAATGCTAGATGACGAGTTAGTGGGTGCAGTGCACCAGCATGGCACATGTATACATATGTAACTAACCTGCACATTGTGCACATGTACCCTAAAACTTAAAGTATAATAATAATAATAAAAAAATACATCACCAAAAAAATAAAGAGGGCATTATAAAATGCCTCATGGAAAAAATATTATTTTAACAATTAGTAAAGTAAAATAAAAATTTGTGACTCATAAAGACACACTTCATTTTAATCCTCTATTTTTTTTTTTTACAAATGGGACTTGAATATTTTAAGATAAAATTTAAAAAATCAAGTAATTTTAATCAGAAATTTCAAAAAAATAAAACCCTGAATCCAATTCAAATTTCACTTACTTGGAAATTGTCACTGATATAAATTTATTTATATAAATGTGATATAACCAATAAAGATATGCAATAGAGTCATTGTTAATTTGGGTAAAAAAATTTTAAAAACAATGCAAACTTGTATTACCTCCATATGTATGTATGTACACATGTACACATATATGAATATTTATATATTTGCGTACACACACCATATATGTACCTGTGTATAAATGAATAACAATGGAATATCAGTTGGCCTCTACTACAACATTTGAAGGCCCATTGCACAATGGCCAGAACAGAGACGACATCAGAATGCAACTTAAAATTTCCAAGATGACTTGAATTATATCTGAATTTCTAACAGGGCATAGAGAAATTAAAATCTTGTTTGATTATGCTTCTTTGTTTATTACTGGGAGAGCCTCACATGCAAAGCAGATCAGGATATTCTCTTACCAAATGTGTTAATTAACAGTCAGTTCATAATGTAAGGGTGACTCAAATAGCAGATTCAATATCAAACAGGAAGGGCTTTTGTAGCCCGTTCTATTTTCGGTCAACCACAAACCACCCACTCCTGCTGAAATAAAAACTTAAAAGGCAGGTGGAGGAAAATATGTTCTAGACCAAGGGGTAGGTTCCGGGTCTGCAAAAGACATAGTGTGCCACCCACAAACACACAACTTCAAGGAGCGTGGCTCAATCCTTCAGAAAATTGGTTCTAACTTTCAAATCATTAGGGATCTTCTTTATGAAAGATATAGCAAACAAAAACACAAAATATACCCCTCTAAGATTATTAGGAAGTTAAAAAAAAGTGACTTGTAACTTTTAATAAATAACTAGGGAGGTAAGCTTGTTCATTTCTGAGATTCACAACTTTTATAAAGGTGCTGTATTAATACTTGAATTGTGCTATGTTCAATAGAAGCAGAGACATAAGCCATACTGAGAGAAGAAAAAAATTTTACAACAAGAAAATCTAATGCTGTTTAATTTCTTTAAATATTTATTAATTTCTGAATGCTATGTGATTGCTTTTATATTAATTTTTCAGTAGGGAAAATGAATACAATTGAATACAATTTCTCAGTTGAGAAATTAAATACAATGGATTTTAGTGTGATGACATACTTGATGGGATAATTTTAAAATCATGATTTTAATTAGATATAATACTTTTAGGTAGAATAATAAAAATAAAGGAAAACCGATTTTCTTTAAATTCCGTCAATTATTTCTTTCTCACAATAATTAATATGTAATTTACCAATGATGTAGTAGATTAATACCAAATTCTCTTACTTTTGGTTTCATCAAAAAATGATGAGCATTTTTCTCTGATTGATGTTCAGTTACTTTCAGATGGCTTGTAATCTTGTACTTTCAACATTAAAGATTTTTTTTCACATATTGATACCAATCATTTTATGATATATCTGATTTTATAATTATGTATTCATTGTTTTCAAATGAGAGTTATGGTTGTATACAGTAAGAATTATAATAGAGGAAGTTATCTGGTGCTCCAGGAATTTAAATAAGAGAAGATATAAAGATCTCAGCCTTTGTATCAATATTTTAATTGGATCCTGAAAAATGAATGGAGATAGACAGAAAACAAGTAAAAAATGGTCTAAGCAGATGGAATAGAAGGAGTAAAAGGAGAGTGATAGAAAAGTGTGTGTGTCTTTGAAGGAACATAACCTGTTCTGGGTGTGGCTACAGCACAGGTTTGTGAAGGACAATGTTAAATGATTGAGGAGAATGTCTCTCAATATCAGTGATTTTGTATTTTACCCTTCAATGATGGGACATAAGTAAACAATTTTTAAAAGCATAGTGGGTGTGTGTGTATATAAATATATAGTATATATAGTATATAGCATGTCTATACTTATACTATATACATACATATAGTGTATATGCATATATGTATATATAGTATATATATATACTTATTTTCATTCTAGATAGAAGTTTTTGAGATGCAGTTAGAAGAAAAAGTCAGAAAGAATAGTCAAGATTATTCCAGCAGTACAGGCATGATGTGATGAATAACTAAATTAAAACATTAGCAGCAACACAGAAGAGAAATGGCAGAATAGAAAGGTAATTCAAGGTAGAAACAGCTGAACTTAATAATTCATTTAGAAGGAAGAGTCAAGGTATAAATACTCTAAATTTTCTTGGCGACTGGCTTGATATTATCATCATTAGCTGAGATGGGCAATGCTTTAAAAGAAATAGATTTATTTGCCAAAATATAAAATGTGTTTATGGCTATGTCAAATTTGAGATGCAGGTGGTGAAGACAGAGGGAGAGAATCAGTTGATATTTTAAAATATAGGTTTGAAACCTACAGGAAAATATTGGAGTAAAAAAAAATAAAGAAAATCAAACGTCAAAGGAAATGCTGGAAGTGTGGGAATGGATAAAAGGAGCACAGGAAAAGTGTGCAGAGCATTGTTACCCAAAGTGCTGTGGGAATTTTATACACATATGAATACAACTCGCAAAACACACAAATATTTTTGCTTCCCTGGATCATTTACTGGAGTCTTTTACATACACATTCTGAAGTATAAGGTATGCAGAATTTTCTAAGCGTATCATACAATTCCATTCCAAGAATACATTTCAGGAAAACTATTGTCAATCAGGGAAACATTGGTGCAGAATAGTAAGAAAAGAAATACCCATTAAGACTAGTAGTTACACAGTGGACATGAAAAAACTAGGCAGCAAGGAGTTATTAAAAAGAAAGCATGGGCTGGGCATTGTGGCTCATGCCTATAATCCCAGCACTTTGGGAGGCCGAGGCGGGCGGATCACCTGAGGTTGGGAGTTTGAGACCAGCCTGACCAACATGAAGAAACCCCATCTCTAGTAAAAATACAAAATTAGCTGGGCATGGTGGCACATGCTTGTAATCGCAGCTACTCGGGAGGCTGAGGCAGGAGAGTCTCTTGAAACTGGGAGGCGGAGGTTGCAGTGAGCTGAGATCACACTGTTGCACTCCAGCCTGGGTGAAAAGAGGGAAACTTCATCTCAAAAAAAAAAGAAAAAAGAAAAAAATGAAAGCATGGGGCCAACATTGAGTGGTCTTAAGGAAGTCAAGGTAGAAGGAAATTTAAAGAAGGAAATGAGAAGCAATGCAGAATGTTTAGAAAGTCAATTAGGAAGCTCCCATAAATATTCTCACTATGTATTATAGGGAATTCATTTATAACTTCAAAAATACCACTCAAAAAAGATGGTAATTGTTGAAATGAGATTTCAATGGGTGAAAGAGGCTGGGCACAGTGGCTCATGCCTGTAATCCCAGCACTTTGGGAGGCCGAGGTGGATGGATCACGACGTCAGCAGTTCAAGACCAGCCTGGCCAAGATGTGAAACCCCATCTCTACTAAAAATACAAAAATTAAACGGGCATGGTGTTGGGCACCTGTAATCCTAGCTACTTGGGAGGCTGAGACAGGAGAATCGCTTGAACCCAGGAGGTGGAGGTCGCAGTGAGCCGAGATGATGCCACTGCACTCCAGCCTGGGTGACAGAGCAAGAGAAAGAAAAGAGAAAAGAAAAGAGAAGAGAAGAAAGAAAAGAACGACGGAAGGGATTTTAAAAAGAGATGAGAAGTCAGTATACTGTTTTGGAGGAAGTGTAATTTATGATTTTGGCTATAACTTGCTATGAATGGAAACAGCAACACACCACTGGATTTCAACTTTTGAGTGCTTAAGAAGGTGGAGATGGTGATTAAAATAATAATAATAATAATAATAATAATAATGCTAAGTGTGTAATAGTTGCTAAGTGTGTGGTGTCTGAAACCAGGATATCAGGATGTCTGGAACTGGGATTGAATCCCAGCTCTTCCACTTTCTGGTTATGTGAGTGACTGTAGGCAAATTACTTAATCTTTTCATGCTCCAGTTTCCCATATGTAAAATGAGAATTATAATAGTAAACTACTTCATGGCTTGTGAGGATGAAGTGCATGTAGAGTACTTAGTGAGTTCTCTTTGTGTATTATGTATTAGTTTCAAAATGCAGATTCTAGAGCCCTTAGATTCTCATTCAATAGGTATGAGGCAAGCACGGGCCAGGATTCTGCATTCTTTAAGGAGGTGTAATTTCCTATATCTGCTGTGACAAAGTGGTTCACATTAGGTCGCTTAAAATGAGATAAAGTTATTCTTTTACGGTTCAGAAAGCTAGAAATCTTAAATGAAGGAGTTAGCAGTGCTGCATTTTTCTCTGAATGACCTGGAAAAAAATCCTTTCTTGCTTCTTCTAGCACCGGGTGATCACTGAGCTTCATTGTCATTGCTTGGCTGGAGGATACCTCACTTTATTCTCTACCTCCATCCTCACATTGCCATCTCCTCCCTGCGTCTCTGTTTCCTCTTCCCTTCTTATGAGGATATCAACCATATTGAATTATGGCCCACTCTAATGCATTATGAGCTCATCTAGCATATCATAATTATACAGCATCTGCAAATAATTTGATTTCAAATTAAGTCATACTCACAGACATCAGGGGCTAGAACTCTAATATATATATTTTCTTTTTGAAGACACAATCTAACCCACAAAAGGGGGGGAGCCGCTTAAGATCATAAATAACTCAAGTAACAAGACTGTGTGTTTAAAATAGCATTTAAATTTCTCCAAATGGCAGACAGCTTAATTCAGATCAATACCAATCAGGAGATAAACAAGTGTTTGTCTCCTAATTGGCATTTACCTGAGATTAAAACATTATGGTAAAATACATTATCTTCAGTGATCTTTGGTTTAGGTGAGCATTCACAAGGCACACAGTTATTATCACTTGAGCCATCTCTCTCTAATAACTCTTTTCTAATCTGCTGGCCAACAATATCAGGTTCTTTCAAATCTCTGATTATCGGACCAAACCATAAGGTCCTCCACGTGAATTGGTAGAAATATTTTTTACAAAGGTAAATGAAATTTTATTTACTTGATGGATTTCTCTTCTCCTTTGTACAAAGGGGTGACCCTTTGACAGCACAGGGAAAGAACATGATAGAAATAGACTTTCAGAAGGAAGGGCCTTCCATAACAAGGAATGCCATCTGTAATCCAGACTTTTTTCTCCTCAGGAATCCAGTCATAGGCAAATCTCTATGAATCACAGATAAATAGAAAGAAGGGTGGGAGTGTGTCAGGAGTAGGATGCTGAAAATGTGAGTAGCCTGTTCATTAATTGGTCCCTTGGAAACTGAGAAGGCAACGTGGCATACATGCAATTTCCATGGAATGATGGAAGACTGGTTGTAGTTACTATGATCCTATAATGCTCAGATCACAACGGGGTCACCCTTATTCATGACTGAGCATTCCTTCTTATTAGTATCCCAATGTGAAATTGTTTCTCAAAAAAGGAGGGGGCGGGTAATTTTTGTACAAAAGGCTTTTACTCCAAAATAAAGTGGCTTGTACTGTATTTCTCCTCTGGAGCCTTGCCGCTGGCTCCATAGGAAAATTCTGCCTCTCATAGATACCTGAGGCATTGGATTCCCTAAACAAAATTGTAGATCCACTTGTACTGCAGGCCTCTGTAGTCCAAAACGTTTCTCTTTCTCTGAGTCCCACTCACAGCTGACATCCTTCTTGACATTTGCATTTTATTTAGAATACACATCCAAATATGTTTTATGTTGCCTCTAACATTCAAAAGAGCCTCTAACAGTCTTCCTTTCCCTATCCCTTCCTTCCATTTGAAAGATGTTTGCTCCACATCACTTTCTACTGCATTCTTAGACTCCCTGAAGGTAGGAAACCCACATTTTTGTCATTGGCTCGATGTGTCTTTCCTGAAGTCTATGGTAGCTGCTATTTTTCTCTAGAGCATATCAACCGGATGCTGTCCATGTATTCCATAAGTTATGTCCATTTGGCTAGTGACATGGCCAGGGTTCCTGAGTACAAAATTGTGACACAGACAAAAATAGTTATACTTCTACAGCTACATAGTGAAGACACTCTGCCTGGAAAAAGTAAGAAATTTCAGGTATTTACCATTTATTTAAGATACAGAAAAATAATTTGCCTAAATGTATAGCAGGAAAAGGAGATAAGTGTATTCACTAAAGCAAGGAGACTACATCTGGATTTTAAATGTGTGCCCTCAGATAGGATTCCAGTACACAGTGGCTGGATTCTGAGTGTTTGTCCCTCACACAGGATTACAGAACACTGCTACGAGGTTCTGAATGGAAAAGGAAATATCTTCACATAAAGACAAGAAAGAAGCATTCTGAGAAACTTCTTTGTGATGTGTGCATTCACCTCACAGAGTTGAACTTTTCTTTTGATTTAGCACTTTTGAAATACTCTTTTTGTAGTGTCTGCAAGTGGATATTTGGAGCGCTTTACATTCTATGGTGGAAAAGTAAATATCTTCACATCAAAACCAGACAGAAGCATTTTGAGAAACTCCTCTGTGATCTATGCATTCATCTCACAGAGTTGAATGTTTCTCTTGATTGAGCAGTTCTGAAACACTGTTTTTGTAGAATCTGCAAGTGGATATTTTGAGTGCTTTGGGGCCTATGGTGGAAAAGGAAATATCTTCACATAAAAACTAGACAGAAACATTCTGAGAAACTTCTTTGTGATGTGTGCATTCAACTCACAGAGTTGAAATATTCTTTTGATTGAGCAGTTTTGAAACACTCTTTTTGTAGTATCTGCAAAGTTGGAGGACTTTGGGACCTCTAGAGGAAAGGGAAATATCTTCTCTTAAAAACTAGACAGAAGCATTCTGAGAAACTTCTTTGTGATGTGTGCATTCATCTCACAGAGCTGAACATTTCTTTTGATTGAGCAGCTTTGAAACACTCTTTTTGTAGAATCTGCAAGTGGACATTGGGAGCGATTTGAGGCCTATGGAGGAAAAGGAAACATCTTCACATAAAAACTACACAAATGCCTTCTGAGAAACTTCTTTGTGATGTGTGCATTCATCTCACAGAATTGAACCTTTCTTTTGATCGAACAGTTTTGAAACACTTCTTTTGAAGGATCTGCATGTGGATATTTGGATCAGTTTGGGGCCTGTGGTGGAAAAGGAAATATCTTCAAATAAAAACTACACAGAAGCGTTCTGAGAAAGTTCTTTGTGATGTGTGCATTCAACTCACATAGTTGAAGATTTCTTTTGATTGAGCAGTTTTGAAACAATCTTTTTGTAGTATTTGCAAGTGGATATTTGGAGTGGTTTGAGACCTATTGTAGAAGAGGAAATATCTTCACATAAATACTAGACAGAAGCATTCTGAGAAACTTCTCTGTGATGTGTGCATTCATCTCACAGAGTTGAAACTTTGTTTTGATTGAGCAGTTTTGAAACACTCTTTTTGTAGAATCTGCAAGTGGATACTTGGAGTGCTTTGAGCTCAATGGTGGAAAAGGAAGTATCTTCAATTAAAAACTAGACAGAAGCATTCTGAGAAACTTCTTTGTGATGTGTGCATTCAACTCACAGAGTTTAAACTTTCTTTTGATTGAGGAGTTTGGAAAATCTCTTTTTGTAGAATCTGCAAGTGGATATTTGGAGTGCTTTGCGGCCTATAGTGGAAACAGAAATATCTTCACATAAAAACTAGACAGAAGCCTTCTGAGAAACTCCTTTGTGATGTGTGCATTCATGTCTCAGAGATGAACCTTTCTTTTGATTGAGCAGTTTTGAAACACTTTTTGTAGAATCTGCAAGTGGATATTTGGAGCGCTTTGTGGCCAATGGTGGTAAAAGGAAACATCTTCACATAAAAACTGGATGGAAGCATTCTGAGAAACTTCTTTGTGATTTATGCATTCAGCTCACAGAGTTGAACCTTTCTTTTGATTGAGCCATTTGAAACACTCTTTTTGTACGATCTGCAAGTGGATAATTGGAGTGCTTTAAGGTCTACGGTGGAGAAGGAAATATCTTCACATAAAAACTACACAGAAGCATTCTGAGAAACTTCTTTGTGATTTGTGCATTCAACACACAGAGTTGAACCTTTCTTTTGATTGAGCAGTTTGAAACACTCTTTTTGTAAAATCTGCAAGTGGATATTTGGAACGCCTTAAGGTCTATGGTGGAGAAGGAAATATCTTCACATAAAAACTGGACAGAAGCATTCTGAGAAACTACTTTGTGATGTGTGCATTCATCTCACAGAATTGAAACTTTCTTTTGATTGAGCAGATTTGAAGCACACTTTTTGTGGAATGAGCAAGTGGATATTTGGAGGGCTTCAAGACCTATGGTGGAAACTGAAATATCTTCACCTAAAAACAACACAGAAGCAGTCTGTGTAACTTCTTTCTGATGTGTGCATTCATCTCACAAAGTTGAACATTTCTTTGGATTCAGCAGTTTTGAAAAACACTTTTTGTAGTATCTGCAAGTGGATATTTGGAGCGCTTTGGGGCCTATGGTGGAAAGGGAAATATCTTCACCTAAAAACTACACAGAAGCATTCTGAGAAACTTCTTTGTGATGTGTGCATTCATCTCACAGAGTTGAACATTTCTTTTGATTGAGCAGTTTGGAAACACTCTTTTTGTAGAATCTGTAAGGGGACATGCGGAGCTCTTTGAGGCCTGAGGTGGAAAAGGATATATCTTCACAAAAAAACTAGGTGGAAGCATTCTGACAAACCTATTTGCGATATGTGCATTCATCTCACAGAGTTGAACCTTACTTTTGATTAAGCAGTTCTGAAAAACCCTTTTGGTACTATCTGCAAATGGACATTTTGTGTGGCTTGAGACCTACAGTGGAAAAGGAAATATGTTCACATAAAAATTAGACAGAAGCATTCTGACAAATTACTTTGTGATGTATGCATTCATCTCACAGAGTTGATCATTTCTTTTGAGTGAATAGTTTGGAAGCTCTCCTTTTGTAGCATCTGCAAGTGGACATTTTGAGCGCTTTGAGGCCTATGGTGGAAAAGGAAATATCTTCCCATAAATATTAGACAGAAGCATTCTGACAAATTCTTTGTGATGTGTGCATTCATCTCAGAGAGTTGAAACTTTCCTTCGATTGTGTAGTTTTCAATCACTCTTTCTGTAACATCTGCAAGTGGACATTTGGAGTGATTTGAGGCCTAAGGTGAAAAATGAAATATCTTCACACAATAACTAGACAGAAGCATTCTGAGAAAGTTGTTTGTGATGTATGCATTAATCTCACAGAGTTGAACATTTCTTTTGATTGAGCAGCTTTGAAACACTCTTTTTGTAGAATCTGCAAGTGGACATTTGGAACACTTGAGGCCTATGGTGGAAAAGGAAATATCTTCATAGAGAAGCTAGACAGAAATATTCTGAGAAATTTCTTTGTGATGTGGGCATTCATCTCACAGAGTTGAACTTTCTTTTGATTGAGCAGTTTTGAAACACTCTTTTTGTAGAATCTGCAAGTGGATATTTGGAGCGCTTTGCGGCATATGGTGGAAAAGGAAGTATCTTCACTTAAATATTAGACAGAAGAATTCTGACAAACTTCTTTGTGATGTGTGCATTCATCTCAGGGAATTGAACCTTACTTTTGATTGAGAAGTTTTGAAGCCCACTTTTTGTAGAATCTGCAAGTTGATATTTGGAGCACTTTTAGGCCTACGGTGGAAAAGGAAATATCCTCACATAAGAACTAGACAGAAGCATCCTGAGAAACTTCTTTGTGATGTTTTCATTCAACCCACAGAGTTGAATCTTACTTTTGGTTGAGCAGTTTGGAAACACTCTTTTTGTAGAATCTGCAAGCGGACATTTTGTTCGCTTTGAGGCCTATGGTGGAAAAGGAAATATCTTCACTTAAGATCTAGACAGAAGCATTCTGAGAAACTTCTTCGTGATGGGTGCAGTCATCTCACAGAGTTGAACATTTCTTTTGATTGAGCACCTTTGAAACATTATTTTTGTAGGATCTGCATGTGGACCTTTGGAGCGCCTTGAGGCCTATGGTAGAAAAGGAAATATTTTCACATAAAAACTATACAGAAGCATGCTGACAAACTTCTTTGTGTTGTTTGCATTCATCTCACAGAATTGAACGTTTCTTTCCATTGAGCAGTTTTGAAACACTGTTTTTGTACAATCTGCAAGTGGACATTTGGAGTGCTTTGAGGCCTATGGTGGAAAAGGAAATATCTTCACTTAAGAACTAGACAGAACATTCTGAGAAACTTCTTTGTGATGTGTGCATTCATCTCACAAAGTTGAACCTTTCTTTTGATTGAGCAGTTTTGAAACACTCTTTTTGTAGAATCTGCAAGTGGACATTTGGAGCGCTTTGCAGCCAATTATGGAAAAGGAAATATCTTCACATAACAACAAGACAGCAGCATTCTCAGAAACTTCTTTGTGATGTGTGCATTCATCTCATGGAGTTGAAACTTTCTTTTGATTGAGCAGCTTTGAAACACTCTTTTGTAGAATCTGCAAGTGGACATTAGGAGCACTTTGAGGCCTATGGCAGAAAAGGAAATATCTTCACATAAAAACTAGACAGAAGCATTATCACAAACTTCTTTGGAATGCGTGCTTTCATGTCACAGAGTTGAACATTTCTTTTCATTAATCTATTTTGAAACACTCTTTTGGTAGAATCTGCAAGTGGACATTTGGAATTCTTTGAGGTCTACGGTGGAAAAGGAAATATCTTCACAGAAAAACTACACAGAATTATTCTGGGAAATTTTTTTGGGATGTGTGCATGCATCTCACAGAGTTGAACTTTCTTTTGATTGAGCAGTTTGAAACACTCTTTTTGTAGAATCTGCAAAGGGACATTTGGAGCACTTTGTGGCATATGGTGGTAAAGGAAATATCTTCACATAAAAACTAGACAGAAGCATGCTGACAAACTTCTTTGTGTTGTTTGCATTCATCTCACAGAATTGAACCTTTCTTTCCATTGAGCAGTTTTGAAACACTGTTTTTGTACAATCTGCCAGTGGACATTTGGAGCACTTTGAGGCTTATGGTGTAAAAGGAAATATCTTCACTTAAGAACTAGACAGAACATTCTGAGAAACTTCTTTGTGGTGTGTGCATTCATCTCACATAGTTGAACATTTCTTTTCAATGAGCAGTTTTGAAACACTCTTTTTGTAGAATCTACAAGTGGACACTTGGTGTGCTTTGAGGTCTATGGTGGAAAAGGAAATATCTGCTCATAAAACATGGACAGAAACATTCTGAGAAACTTCTTCATGATGTGTATATTCATCTCAAAGATTTGAACCTTTCTTTTGATTGAACAGTTTGGAAACACTCTTTTTGCAGTATCTGCAAGTGGACATTTGGAGGGCTCTGAGGCCTCTGGTGGAAAAGGAAATATCTTCACTTAAGAACTGCAAAGAATCATTCTGAGAAAATACTTTGTGATGTGTGCATTCATCTGACAGAGTTGAACCTTACTGTTGATTGAGCAGGTTTGAAACATCCTTTTTGTACTAGGTACAAGTGGACATTTGGAGTGCGTTGATGCCTATGGTGTAAAAGTATATATCTTTACATAAAAACTAGACAGAAGGATTCTTAGAAATGTCTTTGTTATATGTGCATTCATCTCACAGAGTTGAAACTTTCTTTTGATTGACTAGTTTGGAAATCTTTTTGAAGGATCTGCAAGTGGACATTTGGATCACTTTGAGGCCTATGGTGGAAAAGGAAATATCTTCACATAAGAAGTAGACAGAAACATTCTGAGAAACTTCTTTGTGATGTGTGCATTCTTTTCACAGAGTTGAACCTTTCTTTTGATTGAGCAGCTTTGAAATGCTTTTTTTGTAGAATCTGCAAGTGGACATTTGGAGCGCTTTGAGGAGTGTAATGGAAAACAAAATATCTTCATGTAACAACTATGCAGAAGTATTGTGAGAAACTTCTTTGTGATGAGTGCATTCATCTCACAGAGTTGAAACTTTCTTTTGATTTTCTAGTTTGGAAACTCTCTTTTTGTAGAATCTGCAAGTGGACATTTGGAGCGCATTGAGGCCAATGGCAGAGAAGGAAATATCTTCACATAAAAACTAGACAGAAGCATTCTGATAAACTTCTTTGTGATATGTGTATTCACCTCACAGTGTTGAACCTTACTTTTAATTGAGCCGTTTTGAAACTCCCTTTTTGTACTATCTGCAAGTGGACATTTGGAGTGCTTTGAGGCCTATGGTGGAAATGGAGATATCTTCACATAAAAACTAGACAGAAGCAATCTGAGAAACTTCTTTTTGATGTGTGCATACATCTCACAGAGTTAAACATTTCCTGTGATGGAGCACTTTTGAAACTCTCTTTTTGTAGAATCAGCAACTGGACATTTTGAGCTCTTTGAGGCCTATGGTGGAAAAGGAAACATCTTCACATAAAAACTAGACGGAAGAATTCTCAGAAATTTCTTTGTGGTGTGTGAGTTCATCTCACAGAGTAGAACCTTTCTTTTGATTGAGCAGTTTGGAAACACTCTTTTTGTAGAATCTGCAAGTGGACATATGGAGAACTTTGTGGCCTATAGTGGAAAAGGAAATATCTTCACATAAAAACTAGACAGAAGAATTCTGAGAAACTTCTTTGTGATGTATGCATTCATCTCATAGCCTTGAGCATTTCTTCTGATTGAGCAGCTTTGAAACACTCTTTTTGTAGAATCTGCATGTGGACATTTGGAGCGCTTTGAGGCCTATAGTGGAAAAGGAAATATCTTCATATAAAAACTATACAGAAACATTCTTACAAACTTCTTAGTGATGTGTGCATTCATCTCATAGAGTTGAACCTTTCTGTTCATTGAGCAGTTTTGAAAAACTCTTTTTGTGGAATGTGCAATTGTACATTTGAAGCGATTTGAGGCCTATGGTTGAAAAGGAAATATGTTCACATAAAAACTAGACAGAAGCATTCTGACCAATTACTTTGTGATGTGTGCATTCATCTAACAGAGTTGAACCTTTCTTTTGGTTGAGTAGTTTGGAAATTCTCTTTTTGTAGGATCTGCAAGAGCACATTAGGAGTGCTTTGGGGCCTAAGGTGGAAAAGGTAATATCTTCACTTAAGAAGTAGACAGAAGCATTCTGAGTAACTTCTTTGTGATGTGTGCATTCATCTCACAGAGTTGAACCTTTCTTTTGATTGAGTAGCTTAGAAACTCTCTTTTTGTAGAATCTGCAAGTGGACATTTGGAGCGCATTTGGGCCTATGGTGGAAAAGGAAATATCTTCATTTAAGAAGTAGACGGAAGCATTCTGTGAAACTGCTTTGTGATGTGTGCATTCCTCTCACAGAGCTGAAACTTTATTTTAATTGAGCGGTTTTGAAAAACTCTTTTTCTAGAAATTGCAAGTGGACATTTGGAGTGCTTTGCAGCCGACGGTGGAAAAGGAAATATCTTCACATACAAACTAGACAAAAGCATTCTGACAAGCTTATTTGTGATGGGTGCATTCATCTCAAAGAGTTGAACCTTACTTTCGATTGAGCAGTTTTGAAACACTCTTTTTGTAGAATCTGCAAGTGGACATTTGGAGAGCTTTGAGGCCTGTGGTGGAAAAGGAAATATCTTCACACAAAACTAGACAGAAGCATTCTGAGAAACTTATATGTAATATATGCAATCATCTCACAGAATTTCAACTTTCTTTTGATTGAGCAACTTTGAAACACTCTTTTTGTAGTATCTGCAAGTGGACATTTTTGGCGCTTTGAGGCAATGGTGGAAAAGGAAATAGCTTCACATAAAAACTATACAGAAACATTCTGAAAAACTTCACTGAGATGTGTGGATTCATCTCACAGAGTTGAACCTTTCTTTTGATTGAACAGTTTTGAAAGACTCTTTTTGTAGAATGTGAATTTGGACATTTGGTGCGCTTTGCAGCCTATGGTAGAAAAGGAAATATCTTCACATAAAAACTAGACAGAAGCATTCTGACAAACTTCTTTGTGATTTGTGCATTCATCTCACAGAGTTGAACCTTTCTTTTGATTGAGCGGCTTTGAAACACTCTTTTTGTAGAATCTGCATGTGGACATTTGGAGCTCTTTGAGGCCTATGGTGGAAAACGAAATACCTTCACATAAAAACTATACAGAAACATTCTGATAAACTTCTTTGTTATGTGTGCATTCTTCTCACAGATTTGAACCTTTCTTTCCATTGAGCAGTTTTGAAAAACTCTTTTTGTGGAATCTGCAATTGTACATTTGAAGCGCTTTGAAGCCTATGGCTTAAAAGGAAATATGTTCACATAAAAACTAGACAGAATCATTCATAGAAAATCCTTTGTGTTGTGTGCATTCATCTCACCGGGTTGAACATTTCTTTTGATTGAGCAGGTTTAAACACTCTTTTTGTAGAATCTGCAAGTGCACATTAGGAGCCCTTTGAGTCCTGTGGTGGAATAGGAAATATCTTCATTTAAGAACTAGACAGAAGCATTCAGAGAAACTTCTTTGTGATGTGTGCGTTCATCTCACAGAGTTGAAACTTTCTTTTCATTGAGCAGTTTTGAAACAATCTTTTTGTAGAATCTGCAAGTAGACATTTGGAGCGCTTTGCAGCCTATGGTGGAAAAGGAAACATCTATACATGAAAACTAGACAGAAGCATTCTGACAAACTTCTTTGTGATGTGTGCTTTCATATCACAGAGTTGAACATTTCTTTTGCTTGAGCAGTTTGGAAACACTCTTTTTATAGAACCCGCATGTGGACATTTGGAGTGCTTTGAGGCCTACGGTGGAAAAGGAAACATCTTCATATGAAAACTAGACAGAAGCATTCTGACAGACTTTTTTTGATGTGAGAATTCACCTCACAGAGTTGAACCCTACCTTCGATTGAGCAGTTTTGAAACACTCTTTTTGTAGGATTTGCAATTGGACATTTGGAGTGCTTTGAGGACTATGGTGGAAAAGGAAATATCTGCACATAAACACTAGACAGAATTATTCTGAGAATATTATTTGTGATGTGTGCATTCATCTCACAGAGGTGAACCTTTCTTTTGATTGAGCAGTTTTGAAACACTATTTTTGTGGGATCTGTAAGTGGACATTTGGAGCGTTTTGACGCCTATGCTGGAAAAGGAAATATCTTCACATAAAAACTGGACAGAAGCATTCTGAGAAATTTCTTTGTGATGTGAGCATTCATCTCACAGAGTTGAAGCTTTCTTTTGATTGAACAGCTTTGAAACACTCTTTTTGTAGAATCTGCATGTGGAAATTTGGAGCATTTTGAGGCCTATTGTTGAAAAGGTAATATCTTCACATAATAACTAGACCCAAGCATTCTGAGAATCTTCTTTGTGATATGTGCATTTATCTCACAGCGTTGAAATTTTCTTTTGATAGAGTGGTTTGGAAACTCTTTTTGTAGAATCTGCAAGGGGACATTTGGAGAGCTTTGAGTCCTGTGTTGGAAAAGGAAATATCTACACTTAAGAACCTGACAGAAGAATTCTGAGAAACTTCTTTGTGAAATGTGCATTCATCTCACGGAGTTGAACCTTTCTTTTGATTGAGCAGTTTTGAAACACTCTTTCTGCAGGATCTGCAAGTGGACATTTGCAGCCCTTTGGGGCCTATGGTGGAAAAGGAAATATCTTCATATAAAGACTAGACAGAAGCATTCTGGCAAATTTCTTTGTGATGTGTGCATTCATCTCACTGAGGTGAACCTTTTTTTGATTGAGTAGTTTGGAAACTCTCTTTTTGTGGAATCCGGAAGTGGACATTTGGAGTGCTTTGGGACCAATGGTGGAAAAGGAAATATCTTCACTTAAGAACTAGACAGAAGCATTCTCAGAAACTTCTTTGTGATGTGTGCATTCATCTCACAGAGTTGAACCTTTCTTTTGATTGAGCAGTTTTGAAACACTCTTTTCGTAGAATCTGCAAGCGGACATTTGGAGCGCTTTGAGGCCTATGGTGGAAAAGGAAATATCTTCACATAAAAACTAGACAGAAACATTCTGAAAAACCTCTTTGTGATGTGTGCATTCATCTCACAGGGTTGAAACTTACTTTCGATTGAGCAATTTTTAAACACTCTTTTTGTAGTGTCTAGAATTGGACATTTGGAGTATTTAGAGTCCTATGGAGGAAAAGGAAATATCTTCATATAAAAACTAGAGAGAAGTGTTTTGAGAAACTCTTTGTGATGTGTGCATGCATTCATCTCACAGATTTGAACCTTTCTTTTGATTCAGCAGCTTTGAAACACTCTTTTTGTAGCATCTAGAATTGGACATTTGGAGCGCTTAGAGTCCTATGGTGGAAAAGGAAATATATTCACGTAAAAACTAGACAGAATCATTCAGAGAAAATTCTTTGTGATGTGTGCATTCATCTCACAGAGTTAAACCGTTATTTTGATGGAGCAGTTTGGAAAAACTTTTTTTGTACGATCTGGATGTTTACATTTGGAGCGTTTTGAGGCCTATGGTGTAAAAGGAAATATCTTCAAATAAAAACTAGACAGAAGCATTCTGAGAAACTTCTTTGTGATGGGTGCATTCATCTCACAGAGTTGAACATTTCTTTTGATTCAGCAGCTTTGAAACACTCTTTTTGTAGAATATGCAAGAGGACATTTGGAGTGCTTTGAGGCCAATGGTGGAAAAGGAAATATCTTCACATAAAAACTAGACAGAAGCATTCTGAGAAACTTCTTTGTGACGTGTGCATTCATCTCAGAGTGTTGAACCTTTCTTTTGATTGAGCAGCTTTGAAACACTCTTTTTTTAGAATCTGCATGTGCAGATTTGGAGCGCTTTGAGGCCAATGGTGGAAAAGGAAATATCTTCACATAAAAATGATTCAGAAATATTCTGAGAAACTTCTTCCTGATGTGTGCATTCATGTCACAGAGTTGAACCTTTATTTCATTGAGCAGTTTTTATTTATTTATTTATTATTATTATACTTTAAGTTTTAGGGTACATGAGCACAATGTGCAGGTTAGTTACATATGTATACATGTGCCATGCTGGTGCACTGCACCCACTAACTCGTCATCTAGCATTAGGAATATCTCCCAATGCTATCCCTCCCCCCTCCCCCCACCCCACAACAGTCCCCAGAGTGTGATGTTCCCCTTCCTGTGTCCATGTGTTCTCATTGTTCAATTCCCACCTATGAGTGAGAATATGCGGTGTTTGGTTTTTTGTTCTTGCGATAGTTTGCTGAGAATGATGATTTCCAATTTCATCCATGTCCCTACAAAGGACATGAACTCATCATTTTTTATGGCTGCATAGTATTCCATGGTGTAAATGTGCCACATTTTCTGAATCCAGTCTATCATTGTTGGACATTTGGGTTGGTTCCAAGTCTTTGCTATTGTGAATAATGCCGCAATAAACATACGTGTGCATGTGTCTTTATAGCGGCATGATTTATAGTCCTTTGGGTATATACCCAGTAATGGGATGGCTGGGTCAAATGGTATTTCTAGTTCTAGATCCCTGAGGAATTGCCACACTGACTTCCACAGTGGTTGAACTAGTTTACAGTCCCACAAACAGTGTAAAAGTGTTCCTATTTCTCCACATCCTCTCCAGCACGTGTTGTTTCCTGACTTTTTAATGATTGCCATTCTAACTGGTGTGAGATGGTATCTCATTGTGGTTTTGATTTGCATTTATCTGATGGCCAGTGATGGTGAGCATTTTTTCATGTGGTTTTTGGCTGCATAAATGTCTTCTTTTGAGAAATGTCTGTTCATGTCCTTAAAAATCAATGTACAAACATCACAAGCATTCTTATACACCAACAACAGACAAACAGAGAGCCAAATCATGAGTGAACTCCCATTCACAATTGCTTCAAAGAGAATAAAATACCTAGGAATCCAACTTACAAGGGATGTGAAGGACCTCTTCAAGGAGGTGCTACAAACCACTGCTCAAGGAAATAAAAGAGGATACAAACAAATGGAAGAACATTCCATGCTCTTGGGTAGGAAGAATCAATATCGTGAAAATGGCCATACTGCCCAAGGTAATTTACACATTCAATGCCATACCCATCAAGCTACCAATGACTTTCTTCACACAATTGGAAAAAAATACTTTAAAGTTCATATGGAACCAAAAAAGAGCCCGCATCGCCAAGTCAATCCTAAGCCAAAAGAACAACGCTGGAGGCATCACACTACCTGACTTCAAACTATACTAGAAGGTTATAGTAACCAAAACAGCATGGTACTGGTACCAAAACAGATATATAGATCAATGGAACAGAACAGAGCCCTCAGAAATAACGCCACATATCTACAACTATCTGATCTTTGACAAACCTGAGAAAAACAAGAAATGGGGAAAGGATTCCCTATTTAATAAATGGTTCTGGGAAAACTGGCTAGCCATATGTACAAAGCTGAAACTGGATCCCTTCCTTACACCTTACACAAAAATCAATTCAAGATGGATTAAAGACTTAAACTTTTGACTTAAAAGCATAAAAACCCTAGAAGAAAACCGAGTCATTACCATTCAGAACATAGGCATGGGCAAGGACTTCATGTCTAAAACACCAAAAGCAATGGCAACAAAAGCCAACATTGACAAATAGGATCTAATTAAACTAAAGGGCTTCTGCACAGCAAAAGAAACTATCATCAGAGTGAACAGGCAACCAACAAAATGGGAGAAAACTTTCACAAGCTACTCATCTGACAAAGGGCTAATATCCAGAATCTACAATGAACTCAAACAAATTTACAAGAAAAGAACAAACAACCCCATCAAAAAGTGGGTGAAGGACATGAACAGACATTGAGCAGTTTTGAAAAGCTCTTTTTGTAATATCTGCAAGTGGACATTTGGAGCGCTTTTTGGCCTATGGTGGAAAAGGAAGTATCTTCATTTAAGAACTAGATGGAAGCATTCTGTGAAACTGCTTTGTGATGTGTGCATTCCTCTCACAGAGCTGAAACTTTATTTTAATTTAGCAGTTTTGAGAACTCTCATTTTGTAGAATCTGCAAGTGGACATTTGGAGCACTTTGCGGCCTATGGTGGAGAAGGAAATATCTTCACATTAAAACTAGGCAGAAGCATTCTGACAAGCTTATTTGTCATTTATCTCATGGAGTTGCCATTTATCTCATGGAGTTGAACTTAACTTTCGATAGAGCAGTTTTGAAACACTCCTTTTGTAGAATCTGCAAGTGGACATTTGGAGAGCTTTGAGGCCTGTGGTGGAAAAGGAAATATCTTCACACAAAACTAGACAGAAGCAATCTGACAAAGTTTTTGTGATGTGTGCATTCATCTCGCAGAGTGGAACCTTAATTTCGATTGAGCAGTTTTGAAACACTCCTTTTGTAGAATCTGTAAGTGGACATTTGGAGCGCTTTGAGGCCTAAGGTGAAAAAGGAAATATCTTCCCATAAAAACTAGACAGAAGCATTCTCAGAAACTTGTTTACGATGTGTGTACTCAACTAACAGAGTTGAAACTTTCTTTTGATAGAGCAAAACAGTAAATTGAAGTTTAAAATAATTGTAACAATTGCATCTTATATATCAGGTGAGATTTCATAGTTTGGTTCAAGTAGTTTTCAAGTGACAAATTTTCAAGTTTTTAAGTTTTCAAGAGTTGTGCAAGTTCATCAGCCAGAAATCAAGCAAAAGGCTAGATAAGTAGCAGCAGGTGCAGGATTCTTGATATTGAAACTTTTAGGACTTTTCTCCTTCAGGATTCCAATGTTGTACATTTTATTTCCAGTATAACCCCTATGCATGGGATAAAGTAGTTTCACATGTTTGATTTTTCTAATTAGTTATTTGGGTTTCAAAATGTCCAGTTTATCAAAAAATCTTGTGCTGTGTACTGGGGACCATCTACTATAGCCTGATCATTGAATTTTTCAAGAACCTAAGGGGTTCCCTAAGTCCAAGGAAGACAATCAGTGTCTACAAGTCAGGAGGAGAAGGGGAAAGGGCATTCTAATCATTGCTTTGTTTTCATTGATTCTGTTGCTGCTTTCTTGCCATTGAAACTACTCTTGCAGTCTGGTAATGATTAACCTTTGCCACCAGGATGCCCTTTCTGTTTGAGATCCCTCAATCTTCATGTTGATCCATAAAAAGGCTTCAAAGTTACAACTATTTTTTTTAGTTCCCAGACTAACAAAAATAATCTAGCTTTTTGTCTTGACTACCAACCACTCTGGATTTTTTTTTTTTTTTTTTGAGATGGAGTCTCGCCCTGTCACCCAGGCTAGAGTGCAGTGGCGTGATCTTGGCTCACATAACCTCCACCTCCCAGGTTCAAGCAATTCTCTTATCTCAGCCTCCGAAGTATCTGGGACTATAGGCACACACCACCACGCCCGGCTAATTTTTGTATTTTCAGTAGAGATGGGGTTTCACCATGTTGGTCATGCTGCTCTTGAACTCCTGACCTCAGGTGATCCATCTGCCTTGGCCTCCCAAAGTGCTAGGATTACAGGCATGAGCCACCATGCCCGGCCCACTCTGGATTTAAGGACAGTTCTTCCTTCAATCAGCAGCCAAAGAGTCCTGATTCCTGATTCTAATTAAGAAGTTTAACTTGGTATTCTATTTCTGATGGAAGGATGGCTGAAAGAAGGGAGACTCAAACAACAGATGAAGGCAAAATACTCTGTACTGAATTTTCAATGTAATCTTAAATTCTATGTTTAATTGAGATGACCCAAATTCTTTTTTTTTTTTTTTTTTGATACGCAGTCTCGCTCTGTTGCCCAGGCTAAAGTGCAGTGGCATGATCTCGGCTCACTGCAACCTCCACCTCCCGGGTTCACACCATTCTCCTGCCTCAGCCTCCCAAGTAGCAGGGACTACAGGCACCCGCCACCACACCTGGCTAACTTTTTGTATTTTTAGTGGAGACAGAGATGACCCAAATTCTTAACTGCCTCATAAATACTGTTAATATATTGAAAGTTTTGCCCTAGGCTTTTATTAAAGTCAACTATATAGAAAAAGTTTCTCCTATCTTGAGATGTATTATTAAAGACATCATCCCCAATAATATTCCATATTCTCTGTTTAGGAACCCCAATTGTTTTCAAATTCAAGAATTCAGAGAAATCTACTTGTTACAAAAGAGTAGAATGGATAATGGGCACCACATCCTGAAGTGTATTTTAATAAAAATTCATGTAAGATGGTTCAAAATTTCATTAACTACTTTATATAAAAAGAAATGCCTGGGAGAATTCTGTTTCTAGCAGAGTGGCAGACTGATGCCTTGAACAACCCTCCTATTACAAAACTGAATACTCCACATGAAAACAAATCTTTTCAAATGCATTGTTAAGCTGTGAAGAGAATAACGAAAGTTCTAAGAAACCAAAATCTAAATGAAAACACAAGTCCAGGCAGGCACTGAAAACCTAAAAAAAAAAAAAAAAACTGAAGAGGCCAATTGTTGGCAACCATGTGGAACAGCAGGAACTCTTCAAGCTGCTGCTGGTGGCGGAGGCCAAGCCACTGTGCTCCCAGAACACAACACAGAAGCCTCCACACTGAAGCAGAGCACAGGTGCCCTGGAGTCTCCACCCCACCCAGGGATCCTCCAGCAGAAGTGGGTGTGCCCCTGCATACCTGCAAGTCCCATATGCAGACCTACTGTTCAGGGCCGTGGGATAACAGCCAAAAATAGGAAATCATTTTACTCATCAATGGAAAAATGGTGACACAGTCATATAATGGAACTCAACAATGACGATAAATCAATGTCTGCCATAGACAAGAACATGGATGTGTTCTGTAATACTGAACCAAAGAAGCCAGGCTAAATAGAATGTGCTGTATTTTATAGAAGTCAAAACCAGGCAGAACAAATCTACATCAGGAACTGGGAAAGTAGCTATTTTGTGGGTTGGGGCAGCAGTGCCTGGGAGAGGCCACAGGTCAAGGCTACTGCTTGGTCCAGGGCGTGGCAGCCTGGTGTGCTACAGTTCATCTAGATGCACACTTATGATTCGGGCACTCTTCTGTATGTACATTAACATTTCAATAAAAAGCTTATTAAAACATTAAAGCTTTCAGAAAAATCCACATTGCTTCAGTAGAAATTAGCACATTAACGTTTAAAAAATACATGTATATGGTGGGGGAAAAAAACAGTTCAAAAGAGTATCCAGTGAAAAGTTTAAGAGGGAGTGATGCCAGCTAAGGGCTGATCAATAGCCCCTTGCACTCATCCCCTGACAAAGACAGCCAAAGCAGCAAACAGCTATATTTTGATGAAAGTCACTAAAGGAGAGCCCCAGAGTGCATCAAGGAGTAGCAGAAATCCAGTAGAGCCCGGAAAACAGGACGGTCACATAAAGGAGGGAAGGAAACATCTGGCACCCACCACCCATTCCCCCAGAGGGATCAGCCTGAAGCAGAGGGGATGTCTCCCTGCAGGAATAAGGAAGCAAGAGGGGCCCAGTAGCCCCAGCACTCCCCTCAGAGAAGGAACTGACATTGTGCCCCACCCCCATGGACCAGCTGCTGCTGCAACGTGCCCTCCTGGACCTGGACCACTTCGGGAGCATGTCCCACCCAGGGTGAGCAGCCACCGCACCCTTCTTCCATCCTCAGGCTTTGTTGCTCTATATCACACCCACCTAGTGGCCCACCACCCCCGAGCCGCTGTTACACTGTCTTAGGCCATTTAGTGTGGCTGTAACAGAATACTTGAGACTCGGGGTAACTTATTTTATAAAAAAGGTTTATTTGGCTCACCCTGCTTGTGTCTAAAAAGTCCGAGATCGGGCAGCACAACTGGTGAGGGTCTTGTGCTGCTTCATCTCATGGGGAAAGTGGAAGGCGAAACAGGTGTATGCAAGGGGCTCACATGGCAAGAGAGGAAACACAAGAGTCTAGGAAGCTGAACTCACTCTGATAACAATCCACTCCTGGTAACTAATCCAGTCCCATGAAAAGGCATTAATCTATTCATAAAGGATCTGCCCTGTGACTCAAATAACTCCCACTAGGCCCCACCTCCCACACCACCACATTTGAAATCAAATTTCAAATGGATGAAATTTCAAATGGCTGGTGGGAACAAATGATGTCCACATCACAGCATACACCCCACCTGCGGGGCCACGCTGCTGTGCCCCTCCCCTCCCAGCTGCCATTGCTCCCTGCCCCTTGGAGCCTGAGCTGACTTGGTGCCCTGCTTTCCAGGGAATCAGTGTCTTGGCCAGTCTAAGCAGTCACACCCCCCACTGCATGAGAGCTGAAGCACTGCCCTGCTTCACAGGGAATCAGTGTCTTGGCTGAGCTGAGCAGCCACACCTGCCAGGGATGAGCCAACATGGCACCCCCATATCCCAGGAAAACGGCATTGGCTGAACTGGGGTACCTTGCCCTTCAGGACAAACAACTGTAGAACCCTGCTTCCTTGGAACTGGACTAGCCCTGGAGAATCTGAGTTGCCCAGGCACCTGCCTCCCCAGGGAGAGAAGTAGTTGCTGTACTGGTCCCTGCCCCCGAGGGCTCAAGCCACAGTAGTGCTCCACCATTCTGGGGTCCTTGCTGATGCTGTGCCTGGCCTTTCAGAGACTGAGATGCTGCTGTGTCCCACCACTGCAGGGTCCAGAGTCACTATCATGTCACTCCCATGTCCAGAGTCACTCCCATCCCCTGGGAGTTTACTTCTTAAACTCTTCGCAAAAACAGAGTGAGAGGAAATAATTCCAAACACATTTTACCAGGCCAGTATCACCTTAATACCTAAGCCAAACCAAAACACACACACACACACACACACACACACACACACACACACACACACCGAACAAAAACTACAGGTCAACTTCTCCAATAAATTAAATACTGATGCAAACATCCTAAAAAAATTTTAGCAAATAGAATTCAACAACACATCAAAAACATTATACATCGTGTTTAAGTGGGATTTATCCCTGGCATGCAAGGCTGGTTTAAAATATGTAAATCAATCAATGTGATACATCACATTAACAAAATGAAAGATAAAATGACATGGTCACCTCAATTGATGCAGTAAAAGCATTTAACAAAGTTTAGCAACATTTCTTGATAAAACCTCTTAATAGTTTATGTATAGAAGGAAAGTTCCTCAACATAATAAACACCATTTATGAAAAACCCACAGTCTAATCATAGTTAGTGGGGAACAACTAAAGCTTTTCCACTAAGATTGAGTACAAGATAGGGATGGCCAGCCTCATCACTTTTATTCAACAGAGTACTTGCAAGAGCAATCAGATGAGAAAAAAAAGGCAACTAAATTAAAGAAGTAAAATTATCTCTATTTGCAGATGACAAGATCCTTTACGTAAAAAACTCCAAAGAGTCCACAAAAAACTGTGAGAACTACTAAATCAATTCAGTTAAGCTGCAAGGTATAAACTCAACATATAAAAATCAGTTGCATTTCTGTATACAAATAACCTAGCTGATGAAGCAATCAAGAAAATAATCTCATTTACGATAGCATCAAAGAAAAACAAAAACTTAGGAATAAATTTAACCAAGAAGGTGAGAGATGTGTACACTTAAAAACCATAAAACATTGATGAAAGAAATTTAGACATGAACAAATGAAAAGACATCCTATGTTTATGGATCAGAAGAATTAATATTGTTAAAATGTTCACACTACCCAAAGCAAATATACAGATTTAACACAATCCTCCTCAAAGTTCTGATGACATTCTTCACAGAACAGAATAAAACAATCCTGGCCAGGCACAGTGGCTCACGCCTGTAATTCCAGCACTTTGGGAGACTGCAGCGGGTGGATCATGAGGTCAGGAGTTGGAGACCAGCCCGGCCAACATAGTGAAACCCTGTCTCTACTAAAACTACAAAAATTGGCCGGGCATAGTGGCATGTGCCTGTAGTCCCAGCTACCTGGGAGGCTGAGGCAGAAGAATTGCTTGAATCCAGGAGGCAGAGGTTTTAGTGAGCCGAGATTATGCCACTGCACTCCAGCTTGGGTGACAGAGTGAGACTTCCCCTCAAAAAAAAAAAAAAAAGAAAAGAAAAGAAAAAACAATCCTGAAACTCATATGGAACCACAAAAAACCCCAAACAGCCAACAGATCACTGTGAAAGAAAAAGTTGGAGGCATCACACCTCTTGATTTAAAATTGCATTACAAAGCTATAGTAATCAAAACAGTATGGTGCTGGCATAAAAACAAAAAAATAGACCAATGGAACGTAACAGAGACCTTTGAAATAAATCCAAACATATACTGTCAACTAATTTTTGACAAGGGCAAACAAGACAACACAATGGTAAAAAAGATAGTCTCTTCAATAATAGGATTTTCACATGCAAAAGAATAAAATTGGACCCTGATCATACACCATACACAAAAATCAACTCAAAACAGATACAAGACCAAAGACCCAAATAAGACCTGAAACCATAAAACTCCTAGAAGAAAACATAGGGGGAAAGCCTCTTGACATTGGCCTTAGCAATAATTTTTTGGATATCGCACCACAAGCCAGGCTACAAATGTAAACATAAACAAGGAGGACTGCATCAAACTAAAAAGCTTCTGCACAGCAAAGGAACAACCAACAAAATGAAAGGGGAACCTACAGACTGGAAGAAATATTTGCAAACCACATATCTGATAAAGTGTTAATATCCAAAAATCAGTAAAGAACTCTTACAACTTAAGAGCAGAAAAACAACCCAGTTGAAAAATGGGCCAAATAGGAAATGACCAATAGGAAATGGGGAGATGTACATTAAAATAATACAAAGTAGCAGACATGTAGGATGAACAAGTTAGAGATCTAGTGTACATCATGAGGGCTATAGTTAATAAAAATATATTGTCTTTGGGATTTTTGTTAAATAAGTAGATTTTAGCTGTTCCTGTCACACAAACAAAAATCTAACTATGTGAGATGGTAGCTATGTTAATTTGCTTCACTATAGTAACCAGTTTACTATCTATATGTATCCTTTAAGATCATGTTGTCAACCTCAAATATATAAAATAAAATTTATTTTAAAAAAGAAAAGTTTTCCTTCAATCCAGAAAGAACCACTATTACCATTTTTTGGTGTTCCATTCCAAAATATCCCACAAATATACAATTGTTCAATCAAATTTAACATTAGACTTTATACTTGAACATTCAAAGTATGTAAGAAATTATAGAAAAGTGTCTGTGTGACTCCCTGTCTGTAGAGCACAGGCTTCATCTCCACTAACACACACACGACCAGTACCTTATACAGAGAGTCCTTGTTTGTCTTTAGTCTGACACCATGGGCGAGCCTGAGTTGGCCCGTGGTCCACATTCCTGACCAGGTGTCTTTCTCACCCACTGGTTTCAACAAAGATGTTACTGGGTTATAGAAGGCTGGGATGGAAACAGGATACCAAGTTCGCATGAAGACAATATCTGAAAAGAGGTAATTTACTTTAACGTTTTCAAAAGAAGATTCATATCCATATTGTGAAGAAACAAAGAACAAAATCTTCACTCCAAACTTCTCTACCTGACTGCAAAGTATTTGAAGGGAAAGCTCGCTAAGGAAACTATTCTCATAGATCAAAGAACTGTTACTGGGTGTGGCCAGGGGACTGCAGACACAAGGCAAATGGGCACACTGCATAAGACTGGGAGATCTAAGGCTGGAGCTGCTCAACTCTCTGGAGACCTGACTCCAGCCTCTCGTCACACTGGCTAGAAGTCAAGCATGAATGGTAACACCCTGCCCTGAACACTACTTAAGACACTCACCGCTCATCCGCAGCTTATCCTCAAAGCTATCCTGGAAAGCTCCTTCTGGAGCTCAGAGTGCTCTCTTGATCTGCCCCCTTATCCCACTGACAGTTCGAATCACAGCATCTTCAAATTTGGCCACTTCCAAGGCAGAATTAAACATTCCCTACAGGTATAGCAAGATAAAAACACACACACACACAAAATCATATACTTTATGCTTTACTTCTTACTTCAAACATACATCCGTGATTAAAGAACAAAAACAACTCACTGAAGGGTGATAAAATAATCAAAATGTATTTGCCCCTGAAAGTGGAATTACTACCTCAAAAAGAATACAACTCTTTCATTTTCCCCAAAATAATCATGTGAGTTCATGGGCATGCTCATCACTGCTGTCTGTGTGGAAGAGAAGATCGAAGAGGGATTTACTGGACTGAATTGGCCTAGGAAGCCTTTGCTGGCATCTCTCAGACTGGACTGCAGCCCAGATCCTTTTACTCAGATGCATGCACTTAGAACATGAAAACAGTAAGATAAACGCCAGTGGTATTATTACCTTATATTGCAAGAACATTTTATGACTTCCTAACTCTGTTTTCAATAGAAACATCCCCACTAATGAAATTGTCAATAAATGCTGCTCAAACCACCCTCCCAAAATACTGAAAAACAGTACATCCGTTTCTCTGTACCCTTGCCAAGTTGTCTGCAAATGCTTTGTCGATTTTTCTACTGAGTTAGACAAACTTGTGATTTTTTTCCCTTTCTTAACACCAATTTAAAAAGTAGGAAACAAAACCTAGTGGATAAAATGACATATTTTCAATATGAGTTCTGTGGCAGTCTCACATGGAAGTCAGGAGTAACAGCCTCAATTCCTAAATAGCTGTTTACCACTGCTTTTTTGAGCATATTTAAGTAATACAGAATATAAAGGAGCAAACAAAATATGAAGTTTATAAAAGATTTCAAACACTTTTCTAAAAATAAGAGGCCCACATTTTAGAGGTATTTCATTCCTTTTCTCAAACAATATGGACATTTATAAATATGAGAATATATAGATATACAGACCTTAATAAATGAAGTGTTCTTGAAAATTTTATATGGAAAACCAGTTAGCTTTAATTTCTTCACAATTTTTATGGATTTATCCAGATCAAGGACAACTCCTGTGGCAGCTATCTGAAAATCAGGCTAACAGGAGCCCCAAAATTTGAAAATAGGAATAATATTAGCAAGAGAAAAACTTCAATTCTATGTGACACAATAAATTACCAAAGTGAATTTTACTTACAATTAGTTAAGAAAAACAAGAGAGACCATCTGAACTTGCAACCCATTGGTTTGACAAAAGCAATCCAAAACTTTAAAGTTGGTAAGCCAAACTAACAAGGGTGACTTGAGGCCAGGCACAGTGGCTCATACCTGTAATCCCAGCACTTTGGGAGGCCAAGGCAGGTGGATCACCTGAGGTCAGAAGTTTGAAACCAGTCTGGCCAACATGGCGAAATTCCGTCTCTACTAAAAATACAAAAATTAGCTCGGCATGATGGTGCATACCTGTAATCCCAGCTACTCGGGAGGCCGAGGCAGGAGAACCGCTTAAACCCAGGAGGCAGAGGTTGCAGCGAGCCAAGATCGTGCCACTGCACTCCAGCCTGGAAGACAGAGTGTGACTCGGTCTCAAAAAAAAAAAAAAAAAAAAAGAAAGAAAAAAAAAGGCTACTTGAGTACTTTCCTGAGAGTGATTTCAGAGGAATGTAATTTTACTATAATGATTTATTTGGAACGAAATGGAAAAGAAAAATACAGTTGCAATGTTTAGGAAATTAAAATTTGGACCTCCAGGGAAGATTCCATCTGCTCATTATTCTGCTTTCTTCTCTGTTAAATGGGACCAGTAAACCCTGCCCTGCCTGACTGGTCAAATGAAAATGGAGTGAACAGACTGCTACCCCAGCACAGCTGCAGGGAGTCTTGTGTCTGGGTGGTCTCTGACGGCTCCTCATAACCTCATATAGTGCTTAGCACATGGTGAGCACTGCTTAAATACTTGCTTGGTTAAATAAATGCAAAAGATGCATAAAAATAGGAAATGTACCATTATAATTCTTCCACCTCCCCTCCTCTAATCCCACACCCTACTGAAAAGGATGTACGAAGATTAAAAGCAAAGGGAAATTTACTTTATATTAATAAAAATGAGTAATTTTCAACTTAAAGTCTCATGTACATAATAACCCACATTCAGGATATATTTCTCAAACCAATCTGTAAAAGAAATCATCCAAGATAGTTACCATTATGCCACTGACAGACTGTATTGCCAAGAAACCAGTTCCCTGTGGAGTGATAGGGTCTTAAAGGAAAAGGAAAAAAAGAAATATAGCAAACCAGAAATTTTAGATTCTAGTTTAACATACTGGATATGGACACTTAGATTTGGATATAGATGTACATATATACTCCAAACCACCTCCCCGCTCCCAGAAAAGAGAAACATCTTAGGAGTGGAATTTTATGAAAGGAAAAGCACAAAGCTAAAATAACACAGCCTGTAAAGTTTAATCTCGGCAATAGGCAAGTTATTGTAATCATATTTTACCCCAAAAGGCGGCTCCACAATGGATATGCTGTGGCGTATACTTTAGAAGCCTTTGTCTTCCATTGTGGTCTTCGATATAATAGAGCAGGATGGTCTGAAACCTCCTCCACCCTACAGAAAATATGATTGGATCTTGGGACTTGAGGATTTTCTTATACCAGAGATGTTTCTTCAGACGCATCTGAGGGGGATGAGAGGGTAAGATGATTGATGGAGGGGAAATCCACAGAGCCTCAGGCACCAAATACGCAGCAAAGGGACCCACCTGCACATGTCCAACATTTCCCTCACTGTTGCCCAAGCCACCCAGGATAATGGGGTAAAGGGGGTCAAAGTTCTGCACAAATTCACAGGGAACATTTTCAATCTCAACGCGGACATACATCCCAGGTCGAAAACCCTCATACTGAACTCTGGCTTCATCATCTTGATCTTCAAATTCTACGTGATTCAGCTGTACATGATGGGGTGGGGGGGGGGGAACCTGTATGCTGTTATTTGTAATAAACATAGGATTAACATGAACAAATGAGCAATTTCTAAGTAAAGGAACTGTGGACAGAATTATGTAGGCTTTATCCTATTAAAAATACTACACATTTGGCCGGGTACAGTGGCTCATGCCTGTAATCCAGCACTTTGGGAGGCCGAGGCGGGCAGATCACATGAGGTCAGGAGTTTGAAACCAGCCTCGCCAACATGGTGAAACCCTGTCTCTACTAAAAATACCAAAATCAGCTGGGCATGGTGGTGCGTGCCTGTAGTCCCAACTACTCAGGAGGCAGAGGTGAGAGAATCGCTTGAACCTGGGAGACGGAGGTTGCAGTGAGTCAAGATCGTGCCACTGCACTCCAGCCTGGGCAATAGAGCGAGATTCCATCTCAAAAAACAAAAAAAACAAAAAAAACCCTACACATTTTACCTCTACAGTCTGTTCAGAATATGTCCCAACCATTTTCTTCTCTCCTGCTCCAAGGGACAGCAAATGTAGATAACTGTGGAGCCCTGCGTGCTCAAACATTGGAAACATCCCCAGTCCACACTTTCTTTCCTTCCTCTCCAAATAATTCTTTCACACTTTTCCCTTGTCTTCAAACACCCACCACCACCCTCACCTTCACTCAGCTGATGGCTGTTTCCTGATTCACTCCAAAACCAAAAGAACCTCTACGGTCAACCCTATACCAGGGTTTCCTCCCATATCCAGCCTTATCAGAGCTCTGACCTGCCCCATAGAGGAGCTATGTGTGGCTATTTAAATTAAAATTAATTACAATTACATAATATTTAAAATGCAGTTCCTCAATCACACTAGTCACACTGGAAGTGGTCCATATCAACCTGTGGCCAGTGTTACAATATTGGGAAGCACAGATGTGCATCTCCATGATCACAGAAAGTTCTACGGGCAGCTCAGGCACAGATGATTTGTCCATGCCTCTACTCAGGGCCACACATCACTTGCTCACTAGACACCATCCACTCTTCCTGGACTTTATTCCAACAGCTCTTCCCTCTGTTCTCTCTCTCATCTCAAAACCTTTTGATTCCACTTCTTCCACCAAAAACTGCTTCATTTCTCTGCTTCTCTCTGCAGCAAAACCCCACAAAAGTTTTCCACAGTTGCAGCCTCCAGTTCCTCTGCTCCCATTCTCCTACATCCATGAAAATTGGTGCTTGCCAAGATCGCTGAAGGCCTCCACGCTGAAGGACTCCTCCGGTGGTCAACTCTGCCTTTACCATAGTTAACACTGCAGCGGGATCTGAACAGTGTTTCGCCTCCGTGTACAACTGGACTCCTGCGTGCCTGCAGGCTCACACTGCTTCTCCCTCTCCCTCCTAGGCACTGCTCAGGCCTCACGGCCGCAATCGCCCCATCTCGCCCATGCCAGTCTTGCTCCTCCCAGTCACTCTGCACTCACTCCCCGGCCACCTCACAGAGTTAAGTGGCATCTACATGCTGAGGGCTGTACATCTAAGTCCCTGGCCAGACCTGTCTCTCCAGACTTGACACTCCGCTTGTCTGCATGATACCCAGCCGAAACAAACATCATCTTCCCAAAACTGCATCTGCAGACAGTTTCCTATCTAACCTGCAACAACCCATCCTTCCAGGAACTTCCAGTCGCCATCCTCATTTCCTCACACACCCCACATTCAGTCCACCAGGAGATCCTACTGACCCAGCTTCCAAATAAACTCTATCCGGGTTTGACTCTTTGTCTCATCTCCACTGCTAGCCCTCTGGTTTGTGCCACCGGACTGATCTCTACCGGACTGATGTCTTGGCAGAGTGATCTGATTACCTGAATGTCTCTCCTCTGCTCAAAACCCTCCAAGGACTCCCATTTCAGAGTGAAACATTCAGTCTCTTCCAATGGCCCACAAGGCTCTAGGTAATTTTAAATTGTAAATGGTGTGAAGCAGAAACTTCAGTTAGCCTAGTCATGCCTTTCAAAGGTCAACACAGACTAGCAACCACTAAGCTAATGCCTAATCAGGAAACAGTCCTTTGACTAGATGAAGATCTAGGATGAAACTCCGTTTCACAAATCATATACCTAATCTGTTCCAGCTTACACAGGCACTCCTGGCCTCACTAACAAGACGCAACTCAGATGCTCACCATCAACTGTACACACATTTCTGTGTCTGTCTCCTTCAGAGTGAGATCACCGCCTCCAGCAACCTGCTCAGCACCCCCAGGCAGGAGGGCCACACCATCTCCCTTTATCTCCGCATCTGACCTTATACTCCACATGTCCTTCTGAACTCTGACCAGGATGAGTTTTCAGAGCTGGGGAGTGGAGCCTGGGCCTGCGCCTCTCCGCGCCTGCGCCGCCGCTGTGCGCCTCTCCGCCGCTGTGCGCCTCTCCGCGGCTGTGCGCCTCTCCGCCGCTCTCCGCTCTCCGCCGCGCCGCCGCCGCCCGCCGCGCCGCCGCCGCCCGCCGCGCCGCCGCCGCCCGCCTCGCCGCCGCCGCCCGCCTCGCCGCCGCCGCCCGCCTCGCCTCCGCCGCGCCGCCGCCGCCCGCCTCGCCTCCGCCGCGCCGCCGCCGCCCGCCTCGCCTCCGCCGCGCCGCCGCCGACCGCCTCTCCGCCGCGCCGCCGCCGACCGCCTCTCCGCCGCCCCGCCGCCGACCGCCTCTCCGCCGCGCCGCCGCCGACCGCCTCTCCGCCGCGCCGCCGCCGACCGCCTCTCCGCCGCTGTCCGCTTCTCCGCCACGCCGGCACCGGCGCTGTGTGCCTTTGCAAGGGCGGAGCTGCGTTCTCCTCGGCACAGACCCGGAGAGCATTGCGAGGGCGGAGCTGCGTTCTGCTCTGCATAGACCTTGGGGCACTGCCTCGCTTTGGGACAACTCGGGGCCGCATCGACGGTGAATAAAATCCTTCCTGTTTGCAGCCATGTTTGTGGTTGGTGGCAGCGATGGACACTGCAGCCAGCCAGTGTAGAAAGGCATTGGGGTAAGTGCGCCATCCAGGCTGCACTGCTGGTGGCCTGGGACGGGTTGGGAGCCCTATCTCAGGCGTCACTGCCCGTCTTGGGTGGCTGGTTGGGTGTGCTATCTGGGGCTGTGCTGCCTGCCCGGGGGCGGGGGGGGGGGCGGTTTGGGGGCTCAAACCGGGGCTGCACTGCCTTTGGCGGGGAGCCGGTTGGGGGCACTATCCCAGACTGTATTGCTGGCAACAGTGAGGTGGGTTAAGTGTGCTATCTGGGGCTGCACTGTGTGGCTGTGGGGGGGGGGTGGCGGTTTTGGGTTGAGGGCGCTATGGGCTGCTGTAATGCCCATGGTGCGGGGAGGCGGGGCGGTTAGGGTATGTTGGGTGTGCTATTGGGGGGGGGCGACACTGCTGGTGGTAGGGGGCAGGGTGGGTTGGGGGCCATATCAGGGGCTGCACTGATTGCTTTAGCTAGGATTTCTGGTACTATGTTAAACAACAGTGGTGACAGGGGGCATCCTTATCATGTTCCAGATCTTAGAGGAAAAGCTTTCCATTTTTCCCCATTCCATATGATTCTAGCTGTGGGTGTCTTTCCTGTAGTTTTTATTATGTTGCGGTATGTTTCTTCTGTGCCTGTTTCTTTGAGGATTTATAGCATGAAGGGATGTTGAATTTCATATGCTTTTTTGGTTTCAGTTGACATGATCATACAGTTTTTGTCGTTTATTTGGTTGATATGATGTATCACATTGTATGTTGAGTGACTCTTGCATTCCAGGGATACATCCCAGTTGATCATGATGAATTATCTTTTTAATGTATTACTGAATTTGATTCACTGGTATTCTGTTGAGGATTTTTGCATCAATATTAGAGATCCTGTCCTGTAGTTTTCTTCTTTGATGCTTTTATCTGATTTTCGTATCACAGTAATAATGGTCTCATAGAATAAGTTTGGAAGTATTCCCTCCTGTTTTTCAAAATAATTTGAGCAGGATTTGTACTAGGTCTTTAAATTGTTTGGTATGAAGCCATCAGCAGTGAAGACATCATCAGTTCCTGGGCTTTTCTTTACTGGGAGACTTTTTCTGATGGCTTCAATCTCATTACTTGTTACCAATCTGTTCTGGTCTTGGATGTTTTCATTGTTTAACCTAAGTAGGTTGTATGCATCTAGGAATTTGCCAATTTCTACTAGGCTTTCCAATTTATTGGCATATAATAGCCAGTTATGATCCTTTGAATTTCTGAAGTATTAGTTGTAATGTCTCCTTTTTTTAATCTGTTGATTTTATTTATTTGAATCTTGTCTCTTTTCTTAGGCTGGTTAAAAGTTTGTCAATTTTGTTTAGCTTTCCAGAAAACCAACTTTTCGTTTAATCTTGTGTGTTTTTTATTTCAATTTTGTTTCTGCTACGATCTTATTTATTTTCTTATTTTCGGTTTAGTTTGTTCTTACTTTACTAGTTCTTTAAGATGTATTGTTTATTTGAAGTTTTTCTTTTGTTTGGATGGTAGGCACTTATAGCTGTAAATCTCTGCCTTTGTACTGCTTTCTGCGTAACAAGTTTTGGTATACTGTGTTTTCATTACCCTTTGTTTCATGAAATTTTTGAATTTCTGTCTTAGTATCTTCATTGACCTTTATTTATTCAGGTCATTTATTCAGGAGGGTAGTGTTTAACTTCCATGTGATTGTATTGTTTCCAAAATTACTTTTCTTATTGATACCTAGTTTTATTTCTTTGTAGTGAAAGAAGATTGCCACGGAGACAGACAGCAGCATGGTCAGTGTGGTAGGAGCCGGCCATCAGCGAGAGCTGCTCCATGCCTGGCTGCTGGGAGCTAGAGCCTGCGGCCCACTGGCTTGCCTCACTGTAGTTGGTGGTGGCAGTGACAGAGACTGCAGCATGACCAGAGTGGTAGGACAGGGGCTATCCAGGGCTGCACCTTTCGCAGTGTGGGGTGGGTTGGGGGCGCTATCCAGGGTGTCATTGCCTGCATTAGGGGTACTGGTTGGTAGCACTGCACAGGACTGCACTGCCCACAGCAGGGAGGGTGGGTTATGGGTGCTTTCTGGGGCTGCAATGCCCATGGAGGAGGACAGGTTAGGGCATATCGGGTATATGCTACTGGCGGCATTGGGGGACGGAGGTGGGGGGCGCTATTGAGGGCAGGACTAGCCGTGGAGCGGGGGCGAGTTCGGTGCTATCAGGGGCTGCACTGCTGGCGGCAGTCAACAGAGTTGGCATCCAAGGAAGGAGTGGTTCTCCTCTCCCTGACTCCACACTCCAGAGGGCGAACCACTCTTGGTCATACTGGAGTGCGGCAGGGCACGCAGCGTTTGCATGGGAATCCTGAGCATGGCAGAGCCCCCACACCCACCGTGGTTCCTGGGCCTGTGCACTCTGGGTCTGTGCCTCAGAGGCTGCCAGGCACCCCTGGGGACACCACGGGGAACAGGGCCCTGTGTGTGGAGGCATCCGGAACAGGAATTAGCACCTGGGTGCGGAGGGCTGGCTGGGTCTGAATTTTTCTGCTTCTCCTGTTCCCCGAGGAGTGCAGCCCCGGTGGGCCCAGTGGTTCCTGTGGAGTGGGGAGCTGGGTGCTGTGGTGTCTCCAGCACCCACCCCAGACCCCAGTTCCCAGCCAGCTTGGGCCAAAAGGAGAGGCTGGACTTTGGAGGGTGGGTGTGAGTGCCTTTGCTGAAACTGGCCCCTGCCACCCAGTGGCCGGCATGACAACTTGAGGCTCTAACGCTTCCACTCTTCACAACTTCCTCTAGGCTTTTCTGGCTTTGCCCGCCCAGCTGCTCCATGCCAGGAGGAGGAGGAGACACCTAGAGCCTGCAACACCACGGCTCACCTCGCTGCAGGTGGGTGGCAGTGACGGAGACTGCAGTGCGCCAGAGCGGTAGGAGAGTGGCCACGCTAGGAGGGCGGGCGGCTGCAGGCAGGGTTGGGAGTCAGGCTTACAGCGATGGACGGGCTGCAGCAGTGGCCAGGTGGTAGGAGCCTTGTAGGGAGGGCTGGTGCATTGGCAATGGGCCTGGCTTTGCCCTGTGCCTGCCGTGGATCTGGCCCTGTACTGCCCTGCCTTGCCCTGTACCTGCCCTACTGTTACCTGGACTCTCAGCCCTGTCCTGCTCTGGTCCCATCCTGACCCTGTCTTGGCCCCGTGCTACCCTGTCCCTGCCCTGGTCTTGCCCTGGCACTGGCCCTGCCCTGAACCTGCACTGGCCTGACCTTGGCTCTGGCCCTGGCTCTGGCCCTGCCCCTTGTCCTGACCCTGGTCCTGTCATGGCACTGGCCCTGCCAGTGGTCATGGTCCTGCTCCTGTTCTGGCCCTGACCTGGCCTTGGAAATGTCCTGGCTCTGCTTTGGCCCATCCCTGCCCTGGCCCCACCATGGGCCTTCCTGTTCTGCCCTCTCCTGGCACTGACCTGGCCCTGTCATGGCCCAGTGGTGCCATTGCCCTGCCTTACCCTGCGCTGGTTGTGCCTTGGCCCCGCTTGGTGCTGGCCGCTTCCTGGACCTGCCCTGGACCTGCCCTGACCCTGCCTTGGCTTTTGCCCTGCCCTCACTATGGCCTGGCCCTGGCCCTAGCCCTGGTCCTGCCATATCCCTGACCCTGCCCTTATCCAGGCCCTGCCCCTGCTGCTGCCCTGGCCCTGGCCTGGAACCTGGTCCTGTCAAGGACCTGCCCTGACTCTGCCATGGCCCTGGCCCTGCTCTGCCTTGTTCCTGGCCCTGACCCAGACCCAGACCCTTTCCTGGCTCTGCACTGGTCTTTCCCTGGCCCTGAGCTGGCAGTGGTCTGCCCCTGGTCTTGCCATCACCCTGCCCTGCTGTGCTCTGGATGTGTCATCACCCTGCCCTGGCTCTACTCTGCCTTTGACCCTGCCCTGGCCTTGCCTTGGCCCTCACCCTAGTCTTCGCTAGGCCCAGCACAGACCTGGCTCTGACCCTGGCCCTGGTCTTTGTCCTGCCATAGCTTTGGCCCTGAAGTGGACTTGGAGGTGTCCTGGCCCCGGTGTAACATGGCTCTGCATTGGCCTGTCTCTGCCCTGCCCCTACCATCGCCTTGCCCTGCTCTGCCCTGTCCCAGTACTGACCCGGCCACGCTATTTCCCCGCCCTACCCTGCCTTGGCTGTGCCCTGGCTCGGTTCTGGCCCTGGCCCCGGCCCTGCCCTGGACATGCTCTGACACTGCCTCAGCCTTGGCACTAGCCTGGCTCATTCTTGGCATCAGCCCTGCTCTCTCTGTGGACCGGCTCTTGTCCTGTCCTGCACTGGCCATACCATGCCCTGCCCTGCCCTGCCCTGACTCAGCCCTGACTCAGCCTTGGCCTTGGCATTGCCCCTGGTCCTGCCATATTTCTTGCCCTGTCCCTACCCTAGCCTTGGCCCTGACCCTTACCTTGCTCTGGCCCTGCCCTTGCCCTAATGCAGCCCCTGGCCCTGTCATGACCCTGCCCTGGACCTGTCCTGGCCCTGGCCCTTCCCTGCTTGAGACCTTGCCCTGGTTCTCCCATGGCCCTGACCCTGAAATGCCTGGCCCTACCCTGGCCTTGCCCTGCTCTGGCCCTTGCCCTGACTCTGGTCCTGTCACTGACCTAGCCCCAGCCCTGTTGCTGGTCTTACCATGGCCCAGACCCTGCCTTGGCCCTGCCCTGACACTGTCCTGGACCCTGGCTGTGCCAAGAACCTGCACTGTCCTTGCCCTTGTTTTGCTCCTGCCCCAAACCTGGTCCTGCCCAGGCCGTTTCTATGGCCCTGGCCCTGGCCCTGCCCAGGTCTTGGCACTGGCCTGGCCCTGCCCTGCCCTGGCCCTATGCTTTCCTGGCCCTGCCTTGGCCCTAGCCTGGCTTTGACCCTGCCCTGGCCCTACCTTGGCCTTCACCCTAGCCTTACCAGGGCACTGTGTTGGACCTGGCCATAGCACAGACCTGGTTGTGGCCCTGGCCCAGACCCTAGCCCTGCAGGTACCGGTCCTGGCCCAGCTCTGGGCCTGGCTTTGTCCCTAATTCTTAGATGACCCTGGCCCTGCCCCTGCCCTTGCCCTTGCCCTGGCACTGGCCTTGGACATGTCCGTGGTCCTAACCCTGGCCCTGCCCTGGAGCTGCCACTGTCTTGGCCCTGCCCTGGCTCTGGCCCTGCCCCGGCCCTGGCCCTGCCCCGGCCCCAGCCATAGACCTGCCCTGGTTGGTCGTGCCCTACCTTAACCCTGTGCTACCCTGGGCCTGCTCCACCCTGCCCTGGCCCTGCCCTCCCTTTGGCCCTGCCCTGACCCCGTCTTGGCCCTCACACTGGCCCTAGCACAGACCTGGTCCTATCTGTGGCCTTGGCCTGGCATTGACCCCTGCTCCTGACCCTGGTCCTGCCATGGCCCTGGCCCTGCCAATGACCCTGGCAGCCCTTACCCTGGCCCTGAACTGGCCCTGCCCTGACCCTGGCCCTGAAGTGGATTTGCAGGTGTCTTGTCCATGGTTTAACCTGGTCTTACCATGGCCCTGTCCCTCCCCTGGCTCTGTCCTGGTCTTATGCTGACCCTGACCCAGACCTTGGCCCTGCCACAGCCTTGTCCTAGACCTGGCCATGGCCCTGCGTCTGCCCTGGACCGGCACTGGCACTGGCATGGACCCTGGCCCTGGCCCTTCACTACTTAAGGCCATACCCTGGCCCAGCCCTGGCCCTAATTTGGCCTGGCTCTACCCTGGCATGCTATTCTGGCCCTAGCCCTGACCCTGTCCCTGTCCCTGTCCTGGTCCTAGCCCCGTTGCTGGTCCTGCCATGGCCCTTGTCCTGACATTGCCCTTTCCTGGTTCTGGCCCTGGCCCTGTCCCAGCCCTGCTCTGGCCCTGGTCTGAACCCTGGCCCTGCAATAGACCTGCCTTGGTCCTGCCCAGACCCTGGCTCTGGCCCTACCTCTGCCCTGGCCATACCCTTGCCCTGGCCTGGACCCCGGTCCTGGTCCTTGTCCTGCCCCAGCCGTGGCCCTGGCCCTGCCCTGCCTGTGCCCTGTTCTATCCTGGGCTGGCCCTGCCATGGCCTGGTCTTGCCATTGCCCTGCCCTAGCTTGCCCTGCTTGTGCCCTAGATCTGCCCCGCTTGTGCCCTAGATCTGCCCCGGCCTTTGCCCCATCTTGGTTCTAGCCTTGACTCAGCCCTGGACCTTCCCTGACCTTGCCTCAGCCCTGGCACTACCCTGGCATTGCCTTGGCATTTGCCCTACTCTCTCTATGGCCTGGCTGTGGTCCTGCCCTGCTCTGCTCTTGTTCTGTCCTGGCACAGCCCTGGCCCTGGCCCTGGCCCTGCCGTATCACTGGCTCTGGTCCTGCCCTTATGCAGACCTGACCCTGCCACTGCCTTGGCTTTGGCCTGGACCTTGGCCATACAGTGACCCTGCCATGACATTTTCCTGGTCCTGGCCTGGAACCTGGCCCTGCCAAGGACTCGCCCTGGCTCTGTCATGGCCCTGGCCCGTTCCTGGATTTGGATGTGTCCTGTCCCTTATTTGCCCCGGCCCTTCCCTGGCTCTGCCATACCCCTTCTCTGGGGTAGGGCCAGGGTCAGGACCAGACCAGGGCAGGGTCAGGACCAGGGTAGGGCCATGTTAAGGCCTGAAGATGGGAAGGGCCAGGGCAGCGGCTGGACCAGGGAAGGGTCAGGGCCAGGGATGTAGTAGGACTAGGGGCAGAGCCGGCACTAGGGCTGAGCCAGGGCAGAGCAGGAGAGATTACTTTAGGCTATTACTAAAATTTTTATTTTAGATTTTTAAGATAACTATAGTAGTAGTAATGTCTATACTATGTTGTTTGTAATAGTAATAATACTTGCAGTAATCACTAAATTTTAACTAATACTATCTTTGCTTCCAGTAGTGTTCTATGAGTATAATTTTATCAACATGTAAATATGTGAGGCATTGATTCTCATAATAATTCTATATGCTAGGTACTTAAAGCATCCCCATTTTCCAAATGTAGGAAACAGGCAAAAAGAAGGTAAATACTTGGCCAGATTACTCCTGTAATCCCAGCACTTTGGGAGGCCAAGGCAGGCAGATGGCTTGAGCTCAGGAGTTTGGAACCAGCCTGGGCAACATTGTGAAACCCCATCTCTACTAAAAATGCACAAAAAGAACTAATTTAAGTTTCTTGTAGGATTCTGGTTATAAAACACTGGTCAAACACACAGGGCATGGATAGGGCAGGGCCAGGGACAAGGTCAGGCCAGGAAGGGGCCAGGGCCAAGGCAGGGCCAGAGCTGGACTTGGAGGTGTCCTGGTCTGATTTGCCCTGCCCCAACGTTGGCCCAGCCCTGCTCTGGCACATCCTGTCATGTCCTGTCCCTGGCCTGAGCATTGGCCCTGGCCCTGTCCTGCTTCTGGCCCTGCCCCGGAGTTGACCAGGCACTGCCATGGCCCAGTCCTGCATTGCCCTGCCCTCCTCTGCCCTGGTGCTACCATGGCGCTGCTTGGGCCCTAGCTCTGCCTCGACTCTGGACCTGCCCTGACTCTGCTCAGCCCTGGATCTACCCTGACTCTGCCTTGGTGTTGCCCTCCCATCTCTATGGCCTGGCTCTGGCCATGCCTTGCACAGACCATGCTCTGCCCTGCGTGCCCCAGCCTGGGCCCAGCCCTCATCCTACCATATTCCTGACCCCAGCCATACCCTTGTTCTCGCCATGACCCTGCCGTGGCCCTCTCCTGGCCCTTCCTTGATCCTGCCCTGCCCTTCCATGCCCTGGCCTTGCCCTCACCCTGCATTGGCCCTGCACTGGTCCTGCCCTGCCCTGGCACTGCCTTGGCCCTGGCCCTGCCTTCTTCCTGGCCTTGCCTTTGCCCTGCCCTGGCCTGACCCCAGGCCTACTGAGTCCATGAAATGGCCCTGGACCTGCCTTGCCATCCTCTGTCCTGGCCCTATATTGTCCCCACCATGCTCTGGTCCAGCGCTTGCCCTAGCCCTGTTGCTAGTCCTGCCACTGCTATGGCCCTGCTCTGTTTTTGGCCGTGCCCTGTGCTACCCTAGCCCTGCCCTGCCTTGGCCTTGGCCCTACCATGGCCTTCTCCTACCCTGGCCTGGCCCTACCCTGGCCTTTTCTACCCTGGCCTTGCCCTTCCCTGGTGTTGCCCTGCCCTGGCCTTGCCCTGCCCTGGCCTTGGCTTTGCCTTATCCTGGTCCTGGTTCTGCCCTGACCCTGGCCTTGCTCTGGATCCTCTCTGGTTCTGCTTTCTCCCTGGCCCTGCCCTTGCTCTGGCCCTGTCCCTGGACCAGCCTTGACCCTGACCCTGACAATCCCCAGGTCTGACACTGGCCATGCTTGGCCCTGGCCCCTCCTTTTGGCCCTGCCTTAGCCCTGTGCTATCTTAGTCCTGCCCTGGCCCTGAACTCGCCCTGGTCCTACCCTCACCCTACACTGGCCCTGCCCTATCCTGGCCTTGCCCTGCCCTGGCCCTGCCTTTGGCCTGCTCTGGCTCTGGTTCTGCCCTGGACTTGCCCTTGCCCTGGACCCTCCCTGGCCATGTTTTTCCCATGGTCCTTCTCTGGCCTTGCCCTTGCCCTGTCCCCTTTCTGGTCCTGCCATGTTTCTGGCCCTGCCCTGTCCAGGTCCTGGACCTGACTCTGGCCCTGGACCTCCCTGTCCCTGCCCTGCCATACCCTGGCCCGTTCCTTGCTCTACACTGACCCTGCCCTGCCTTGGCCCTGTGCCACCCTAGCCCTGCCCTGGCCTTCTGCTGACCCTGATCCTGCCATGGCCCTGGCCCTGCCATGTCCCTGCCCTGGCCCTGGTTCTTCCCTGCTTCTGGACCTGGCCTTGGTCCTCTCATGTCCCTGGCTGTGACCCTGCCCCTGGTTTTTCTCTGGCCATGACCCTGCCCCAGTTCTGTCCTATCCCTGGCCCTGTCTCAGTTCTGTCCTAGCCCTGGCCTTTCACAGTACTTTATGCTTAGTAAGGGCTCCATGGTGTCTGTGAGTTGAATGTTGTGTTCATAGTATCTGCCAAAACAGAAAGAAAAAAGTAAAATATTTTGATAAGAAGTTAAAGCTTTGTATATAATATGCCTTGAATTGTAAGTGCCTGTTATTAGTTGTATTACATATGGGTCATGGCTTTGTACACGTAACTCCAAACCATTGATACTGTTAAAAGGATATATGAATATATGAAAGAATGTATAAACGTAAGAATGTATCAGTATCTAATGACCTTTCCAAATTAATTTTTATTTTTAGCTCTATTAGATTTTTCTCAGTGTAACAAATGTTTATTCCTATGTAATTAAGGGTGTGTTTCCTGTACAGAATATTCATAATACCTAATTGAAAATTATATGATACAAAAATATAATACTATTTTTAGGCCAAGCATGGTGGCTCATACCTGTAATCCCAACATTTTGAGAGGCCAAGTTTGGAGAATCATTTGAGTCCAGGAGTTGACCAGCCTGGGCAACATAGTGAGACCTTGTCTTTATTAAATAAATAAATAAATAAATAAATAAATAAATAAATAAATAAATAGGTTGGGCACTGTGGCTCATATCTGGCATCCCAGCATTTTGGGTTGCCAATGCAGGAGGATTGCTTGAGCCCAGGAGTTTGAGACCAGCCTGGGCAGAATAGCAAGACTCCATCTCTGCAAATAATAAAATATTAACCAGGTGTGGTGGTGCGCACCTGGGGTCCCAGCTACCTGGGAGGCTAAGGTGGGAGGTTTGCTTGAGGCTTCAGTGAACTGTGAATGCACCATGCACCACTGCATTCCAGCCTAGGCCACAGAACAGGACCTTGTTTATAAATAAAGAAATAAGTAAAAATATAAATAAAAAGTAAAAATAACTATAAGTAAATATAAATATAAAAATGCATACATGAAAAGAAACAATTTTTAAATTTAACATCAGTGAGGGCATCCTATCCATTTCATTTCATGATTCCATTACATCATTTCACTTAGATGAAATGATGACTTGAGATGAAATGATGAGATGAAATGACGAAATGATGAGATGAGATGATGAGATGAAATTTTGAGATGAAATGGTGAGTAGAAATGATGAGATGAAATGATGAGACGAAATGACAAAATTGAAAAGAAATTGAAAGGAGAGGAGATGAGATAAAATGAGATGAAATGAGATGATGGATGAAATGAGATGAAACGAGATGAAATGAAATAATGAAATGATATGAAATAATGAAATTGAAATGAGATGATATGAGATGAAATAATGAGATAAAATGATGAGATGAACGATGAGATGAAATGATGAAATGAAATGAGATGAAAAATGATGAGATGAAAAATGAGATGAAATGAAATAATGAAATGAGATGAAATGAAATGAAATAATGAAAGGAAATTATGAAATGTAATGATGAAATTGAAATGAGATGAGTTGAAATGATGAGATGTAATGGTGAAATGAAATGAGGAAATGAGATGAGATGAAATGAGATGAAATAATGAGATGAAATGAGATAATGAGATGAGATGAAATCATGAGATGAAATGATGAAATGAAATGAAATGATGGATGAAATTATGAGATGAAAGATGAAATGTAATGAGATGAAATGAAATGACATAATGAAATGAAATAATGAAATGAGATGAAATAAAATAATGAAATGATGAAATAATGAAATGAAAATGAAATGGAAATGATGAGATGAGAAGAAATGATGAGATGAAATGATGAAATGATGAGATGAGATAAAATGAGATGAAATGATGAGATGAGATGAAATATGATGAGATGAAATGCCATAATGAATGAAATGATGAAATGGAATAATGAAATGGAAATGATGAGCTGAGATGCAATGAGTTGAAATGAGATGAAATGATGAAATGAGATGAAATGATGAGATGAGATGTGATGAAATGATGACATAAAATGAGATGAAATGAGATGTAATGATGGAATGAGATGAGATGAAATGAGATGAAATAGATGAGATAAAATGATATGAAATGAGATGAATGATGAGATGATGAGATGAATGATGAAATGAAATGATGAGATGAGATGATGAAATGAAATGGTGAGATGAAATGATGAGATGAAATGAAATAGTGAAATGAAATTGAAATAAAATCGAAATGAGATGAAATGATGAGATGATGAAATAAAATGATGAAATGATGAGATGTGATGAGATGAAATGATGAGATGAAATGATGAGATGAGATGACATGAAATAATGAAATGAAATTGAAATGAGATAAGATACGAGATGAGATGAAATGATGAAATGATGAGATAAGATGAAAAGGGTTGAGATGATGAGATGAAATGAGATGAAAAGATGAAATGATGAGATGAAATGAAATGATGAGATGAAATGAGGTGAAATGAAATTAGATGAAATGTAATGAGATGAAATGAAATGACATAATGAAATGAAATAATGAAATGAGATGAAATAAAATAATGAAATGATGAAATAATGAAATGAAAATGAAATGGAAATGAGATGAGAAGAAATGATGAGATGAAATGATGAGATGAGATAAAATGAGATGAAATGATGAGATGAGATGAAATATGATGAGATGAAATGACATAATGAATGAAATGATGAAATGGAATAATGAAATGGAAATGATGAGCTGAGATGCAATGAGTTGAAATGAGATGAAATGATGAAATGATGAGATGAGATGTGATGAAATGACATGAAATGATGACATAAAATGAGATGAAATGAGATGTAATGATGGAATGAGATGAGATGAAATGAGATGAAATGATAGATGAGATAAAATGATGATATGAAATGATGAGATGAATGATGAGATGAGATGAATGATGAAATGAAATGATGAGATGAGATGATGAAATGGTGAGATGAAATGATGAGATGAAATAGTGAAATTGAAATAAAATCGAAATGAGATGAAATGATGAGATGATGAAATAAAATGATGAAATGATGAGATGTGATGAGATGAAATGATGACATGAAATGATGAGATGAGATGAGATGACATGAAATAATGAAATGAAATTGAAATGAAATAAGATACGAGATGAGATGAAATGATGAGATGAAATGATGAAATGATGAGATAAGATGAAAAGGGTTGAGATGATGAGATGAAATGAGATGAAAAGATGAAATGAGATGAAATGAAATGATGAGATGAAATGAGGTGAAATGAAATTAGATGAAATGTAATGAGATGAAATGAAATGACATAATGAAATGAAATAATGAAATGAGATGAAATAAAATAATGAAATGATGAAATAATGAAATGAAAATGAAATGGAAATGATGAGATGAGAAGAAATGATGAGATGAAATGATGAAATGATGAGATGAGATAAAATGAGATGAAATGATGAGATGAGATGAAATATGAGATGAAATGACATAATGAATGAAATGATGAAATGGAATAATGAAATGGAAATGATGAGCTGAGATGCAATGAGTTGAAATGAGATGAAATGATGAGATGAAATGATGAGATGAGATGTGATGAAATGATGACATGAAATGATGACATAAAATGAGATGAAATGAGATGTAATGATGGAATGAGATGAGATGGAATGAGATGAGATGAAATGAGATGAAATGATAGATGAGATAAAATGATATGAAATGATGAGATGAATGATGAGATGATGAGATGAATGATGAAATGAAATGATGAGATGAGATGATGAAATGAAATGGTGAGATGAAATGATGAGATGAAATGAAATAGTGAAATGAAATTGAAATCGAAATGAGAGATGAAATGATGAGATGATGAAATAAAATGATGAAATGATGAGATGTGATGAGATGAAATGATGAGATGAAATGATGAGATGAGATGAGATGACATGAAATAATGAAATGAAATTGAAATGAGATAAGATACGAGATGAGATGAAATGATGAGATGAAATGATGAAATGATGAGATAAGATGAAAAGAGTTGATGAGATGATGAGATGAAATGAGATGAAAAGATGAAATGATGAGATGAAATGAAATGATGAGATGAAATGAGGTGAAATGAAATTAGATGAAATGTAATGAGATGAAATGAAATGACATAATGAAATGAAATAATGAAATGAGATGAAATAAAATAATGAAATGATGAAATAATGAAATGAAAATGAAATGGAAATGATGAGGTAAGAAATGATGAGATGAAATGATGAAATGAGATGAGATAAAATGAGATGAAATGATGAGATGAAATATGAGATGAAATGACATAATGAATGAAATGATGAAACGGAATAATGAAATGGAAATGATGAGCTGAGATGCAATGAGTTGAAATGAGATGAAATGATGAAATGATGAGATGAAATGATGAGATGAGATGTGATGAAATGATGACATGAAATGATGACATAAAATGAGATGAAATGAGATGTAATGATGGAATGAGATGAGATGAAATGAGATGAAATGATAGATGAGATAAAATGATGATATGAAATGATGAGATGAATGATGAGATGATGAGATGAATGATGAAATGAAATGATGAGATGAGATGATGAAATGAAATGGTGAGATGAAATGATGAGATGAAATGAAATAGTGAAATGAAATTGAAATAAAATCGAGATGAGATGAAATGATGAGATGATGAAATAAAATGATGAAATGATGAGGTGATGAGATGAAATGATGAGATGAAATGATGAGATGAGATGAGATGACATGAAATAATGAAACGAAATTGAAATGAGATAAGATACGAGATGAGATGAAATGATGAGATGAAATGAAATGATAAGATGAAAAGAGTTGATGAGATGATGAGATGAAATGAGATGAAAAGATGAAATGATGAGATGAAATGAAATGATGAGATGAAATGAGGTGAAATGAAATTAGATGAAATGTAATGAGATGAAATGAAATGACAATGAAATGAAAAAATGAAATGAAATAATGAAATGAGGTGAAGATGAAATGATGAAATGAGATGATGAGATGAAAAATGATGAGATGAATTGAAATGAAATGAAATAATGAAATAATGAAGTGAAATGAAATGATGAATTGATGATATTGAAATGAAATTGAAAGATGAGATGAAATGAGATGAAATGAAATGTTGAAATGATGAAGAGATGTGACATGAAATGAGCTGAAATGAGATGAAATGAAATGAGATTAAATGATGAGATGAAAAATGATGAGATGAAAAATGATGAGATGAAATGATGAGATGAGATGAGATGAATTGAGATGAGATGAGATGAAATAATGAAATTAGGTGAAATAATGAAATGAGATGAAATAACGAAATAAAATTGAAATGAGATGAGAGGAAATGAGATGAAATGTTGAAAAGAAAGGAGGAAATGATGAGGTGAGATGAAATGATGAGATGAAATTGAGATGAAATGAGATGAAAAATGATACGAAAAATGATATAAAAAATATGACATGAGATGAAATGAGATGAAAAATGATACGAAAAATGATATAAAAAATATGACATGAAATGAAATGAGATGATATGAAATGACATAATGAAATAAATGAAATTACATGAAATGAAATAATGAAATGAAATGATGAAATAATGAAAATGAAATGGAAATGAGATGAGATGAGATTTGATGAAATGATGAGATGAAATGATGAGATGATATGAAATGATGAGATGAGATGGGATAAGATGAAATGAGATGAAATGATGAGGTGAAGTGATGCACTGTCACGTGTGTATCTTTTTCCCAACCAACAAAAATTATAATTCATTAATTTTATTATTTAAGAATATTCTTAAGAGTTGAAGGAAAAATAATATCTGTACATTATGGGTTACAATTAAGTATAAATAATACATAAATATATTAAAACTTACAAAGAATATGTTTCGGAATCGAATATACCATGCTTCTGTGATGACAGTTATTTCATGCTGGTTGTCACAATTTTACATGAAAAACTAATGAAACAATGTTTTTAACTGTTTCTAAAAATAACAGTTTCCAAAACAGTTTTACATTCAAAATATGAAAAAGATGTCTTTGTGTTCCTTAATCTGATGAGATTTTCACACTCTGCACATGATAATTGTTAGATTTTTATTGTGTTGATAAATTGTATATCAAATAAAAAATGTTATTACCTCTTAAATTAGGATTTTTAGGTGATATAGGCAGAAAGGAAGGCAAGTTTTTATAACTTTGTCTAAATGAACTTTCTAAATGCCTGAGTATTAAAAGATAGCATGTCTATAAATGACAATGTATATATTACTGTATGACCTAGGACCAATCAAAACCGTTACCTCTGATAACATTATATTGTGCCCAGTATAAAATAGATATAATAATACCTCAAACTTAAATCCAGGCATTGTCATTGAATATGTTAAGAATATGCAGCAAAGGTGCTTTTAAAAATACAAGCTAGTGATTGTACTAAATTTGTAAATCACATAGGATAGTGGGTCATTTTAAGAATATTATTTCAATCTATAAACGTGGATGTCTTTGCTTTTTTATGTTTTCTTTAATTTCTTTCATTAATATTTGTCATTTTTGTTGTCGAAATCTTTTACTTGGTTAAATTTATTTCTAAGTACATTTTTGTAGCTATTGTAAAAGGAATTGCTTTCTTAATTTCTTGTTTCAGCTAGTTTACTATCAATATATAGAAATGCTACTGATTTTTGTATGTTGATTTATATCCTGCAACTTTATTAATTTCATGTATCACCCTGAGAAGCTTTTGGTAGAGTCTTATTTTTTTCCATGTATAAGATCACATTGTCTTTAAACAAGGACAATTTGACTGTCTCCTTTCCAATTCAGATGTCCTTTATTTCTTTCTCTCACCTAATTGTCCTGGCTAAGACTTTCACTATGTGAAATATGATTGGTGAGAATAGGCATCCTTTTCTTGTTCCAGTAAAATCTTTTTCTTGTTCACAGTAAAATCTTTCACCTTTTCCACACTCAGTATGATCTTAGCTGTAGATTTGTCCTTTATGTCCTTTGTGTTAAGGCATATATTTTCTATACTAAATTGTTGAGAAGTTTTTTGTCATGTAAGAATATTTAATTTTGCCAAACGCTTTTATTGTGTTTATTAATTTAATCATATGGTTTTCAGTATATATCCAAAGGAAAGAAAATCAGTATATCAAAGAGTTACCTGCACCCCCATGTTTATTACAGCACTATTCACAATAGCCAAGATATGGAATCGACAAAAGTGTCCATCAACAGATGAATGGATAAAGAAATGTGACATACATATATAATGGAATATTATTTAGTCATAATAAAGAACAAAATCCTGTTGTTTGTGGCAACAAGAATGCAAGTGGAGGGCATTATGTTAGGTGAAATAAGCCTGGCATAGAAATATAAACACCACATAACTACGTGTTCTCACTTATGTATGGAAGCTAAAATTTTTAATCTCGTAGAAGTAGATAGTAGAGTTTTGGTTACCATATCCTGGAAAGAGTAGGAGAAAGAAGAGTATAAGAAAAATGTGCTTAATACATACAAAATTACAGCTGGAGAGAAGGAAGAAGTTCTAGTTCTCTACAGCACTGTTGGGTGACTGTAGTTAATGGGAATTTATTGTGTGTTTTCAAATAACTAAAAGAAAAGATTTTGAATATTCTCACTGCAAAGAAATAATACATGATTTAGGTAATGGATATGATAATGACTCTGACTTGATCTTTACGCATTGCATAAATATATCAAAATATCACTCTGTACCCCATAACATGTACATTTATTGTATGTCAATTAAAGTAAATTTAAAAGAGAAAAAATGAGGTAAAGGTAAATGTACAGAATTTAATTACTTTTTCTTCTATAAAACCCGAGTCAGTACCAAGAAGAGTCAATTTATTAGTTTTCTAAAATAAAAAAAATCAAAATCACCAAAAAAGAGCAATATCCAAGAAAACATTGAAAAGGAAACACAACATTTAGTAAGAATAGAAAACTTGGGCACTGTATCACCCTGTTCCTAGATACCGATTTACTGATGGCCATTTAAATAGAATTTTATTCTATCTAATTCATTTATACTCCCAGAGTTTGAAATTACATTTTACCTACAATAAATGAGATAACACTTGTAAATTATATGGTACTCTGCCTAACACACGTTAATAACTCAATAGATGTTAGCAATAAACTTTTAGTATAGTAGTCAAAGTATTAATTTCTCACATTGCAATTTCCTTCAAAGACATAAATACAACCTTTCTAATGACTCCTTGTTCATCAAGATACCTCTTCAAATTATTCTATTTGTTTCATTCAGTATATTATCTGTGTATACCGATATTACACTCTTTTCTTTTTTTGAGATGGAATCTCATTCTGTTACTGATGCTGGAGTGAGGTGGCATGATCTCGGTTCACTGCAACCTCCACCTCCCAGGTTCAAGCGATTCTCCTGTCTCAGCCCCCCAAGTAGCTAGGACTACAGGTGCACACCACCATGCCTGGCTAATTTTTGTATTTTTAGTACAGTCAGAGTTTCACCCTGTTGTCCAGGCCGGACTCGAACTCCTGACCTCAGGTGATCCACCCACCATGGCCTCCCAAAGTGCTGGGATTACAGGCATAAGCCACCGCACCCAGCCTGATATTGCACTCTTGGATTTTGAACACTGAATATCTTTTTGAAAGATTACACCTCTTTACCTCTTCGTGCTTCAGAAATTATTTTCCTTCAAGTGTTCTAAGAGGCTAATGAAGAATGAAGTCATGTTTTATCACTTTTGTCCTTAAAGATTTCAGACATGCTGAAACTGATTGAAGTATCATTTGCTACCAGATAGATTAGTTATCTCTAGTTGTAGGAGTGGATACATCTTTAATGGTATATTTTGGTTTATTGTCTTATTTTTGATGTAGTATTCTATCAATAATTTATTAAACCTGGCATCCTTGAGTGAGCATGGATTTTTCAACTTTGGTGTTATATTGTGTTTGCTTTTAAAAACTGCTTTTGAGGCCAGGTATGGTGGCTCTTGCCCATACCCAGCACTCTGGGAGGCCAAGGTGGGCGGATTACCTCAGGTCAGGAGTTCAAGACCAGCCTGGTCAACATGGCAAAACCATGTCTCTACTAAAAACACAAAATTAGCCAGGCATGGTGGTGCATGCTTGTAGTCCTAACCACTCGAGAGGCTGAGGCAAGAGAATCACCTGAACCTGGGAGGCAAAATTTGCTAGGTTGCTGTGAGCCAAATTCGCATCATTGCCCTCCAGCCTGGGTGAAAAGAGCAAAACTCTGTCTCAAAATAAAAAAAAAAAAAACGACCAAAAACTGCTTTTGAATGGAGTTGTACATACAATTTTGATGAAAAAAATTATCAAGTGCATAAGTTCATAATAGAAAAACCAATAATACTCCAGGCACAAGTTAGTACTAAAAAAATTATGTTGAATATGCTCCAATACAACATGCTTTTTCCCTTCATGAACAATTTGTGTTTTACTGAGAAGAGTCATTGTTTATGGTAGACATTAGACTACAGATGAATATGCACTTTAAACACTCTTAGTTGCTTTCTTAATTTTATATCTGCTGCTTTATGCTTCTGTTTATTTTCATTCTTTCCAATGTCCACATTCTAGTAAATTTGAATATTTTAATCCAAGTTTATATACTATTTAATATTGCTTGTATAGTTTAGTATTGTTAAGACTCAAAAAGGTTTACAGAAAGAAGAAAAAGATCAACATGTTATTAATCATTTAAAGATCATTTTGAAATCTTTGACCTTTATATTTTAATGAATAAAATATTAGTAGTTATTAGTATAAAATAATTTATGTCTTTTGGACTTAGCATCCAGTATTTCTTTTTTAATAAAGAAAATAATTATTCTCTTGCAATATACTATGTTTACCTGGGTTTTGAAAAGTGATGTTTCCTAATATGAGAAAGCCATTTACATTTTTAAATCTACAAAGGCAAATGGAATGGTACTAAATTATTTATATAATAATGTTTAGATGGTGACCCTTATAACATTCTTTCTATACTTCCTACAGAGTTGGGGATATGCAATCCTGGAATATTTCTGGGAGCTAATCCTTTAGCTTGATGAATGAAACAAGACTTTTAAATAAAATTAAACTTTCAAATTATCCAGGTAATGGGCCTGTCTTTTAATTCAATGGATATGGAGCATAATGAATTATCCCCTGTTCATTGGGTAATAAGTTCTCATTCTTAATTTATAATACTCAAAATATCCTTTAATTTTTAATTTTTGATAGTCATATCATTATCCCTAGGTATTTTAGCTTCTATCTTAAATTCTAAAATAATTTTGAGACAGGAGAAAGTATTCTTTATTACTATATGTATTAAACATCATGGTTTTCAAATTTAACTGCAAATGTATCTTTTCATTGCTTCTTGGTGACGCCCTTCACCCTATCCATATTGTCACTACCAAGTGGTGATTACTTTTCAGGTTCACATACTTATTCTTTAGAAAAATCTTCTCTGTGCCTTATAAAGAATATGATTGTTGGCATTGAAAAGCCAGTGAAATATACATTATTAGCCTGTTGCCTAACTCATTTATTTAAGAAACTACACTAATTACCCACATACTTATGTTTTTATTTACTCATTATTTCTGGAGAAAACAAATACTGCTAACATGATATTTGTAAGAGAGAAAAAAGTCTTTTCTTGAAAAGTGCTGTCATTGTAGTACTAACTTATAGTATCAACTTCTTTATCAACTCCTTATACACTTTTTATTCTGAGAGAAATAAAAAAGCTAAAAGTGAAATGACTTTGTAACTCTCCATATTATAAGCACCCATCTTGGTAATTTAGGGTCTTTATAGTTAGGGTAAGTTGTGTCATACCGAGGTTACAAAATAAAAAGTATTTTGTCTCTTTGGGCCTTTCCTTATTCAGTAATACTGTCAGTTTGGCTTTTTTTGTAGGTCAACTTATTGAACTCAGTATTCTGAAATAATGTGTTTACTATCTTTTGATAAGCATTTAAAATATTAGATTTATTGTTACTCGTCTGCCTTCATTGGGCTGGAAGAATAATTGTTTCACTCCACAAAAGCCAAGTTGCAGAGAAAAACACATAGACATTCAACTGCAAAGCAGAGAAACTTGACTATTTTCTGCAATTTTAAAGTGTATATTGAATAAAACCATCTTTTTATTTTCTTTTTTGCTCACTGGCAACTATTAACAACATCAAGTGCGTTATTATAATGTTATCTAGTTAAAAATCTCAAAAAGTTTTCATAATTACCATTTAAAAATATATAAATAAGTGACCTAATGTTAATTTTTATTGTCTGAGACCATGTCTGTTATTTCACTCTTTAAATTCAGTTAGTAATGCAGAACCTAGCACTTAGTAGATACTCAAAAATTATTTGCTGAATAAAAAAAGGTTAAACATGTAATATACACAAAATGTACTGGAAAAAATGCACCAAACAATTTTGTTATACCAGTTTAATGTAAATATTGTCTTTAAAAGATAATATAGTTTTCAGGTGTCTACAGTGATTTTGTAATATTTGTGCACATATAAAGTAATATTTCCAAAAATGTAATCCAGTGGGGAAATATACTTTCTAAATTCTAGATTTATAATTTAGGGTTTAAATTATAAAATCATTAAATAAGACACAAGTGAAATATAGTCAAATATCCCCTTGGAAAAAAATTAAGTGGCCTCTAAAGTGAGGTATTCATATATGTAATTTTACAATCCTCTAGTGATAGAATTAATTAAATATGCCACCAAATTGATTAATTCCTACAGTGTTAAAAGAGAAGCACTAACAATGCCAGTGACCATGTAACATGGATTTAAGCTACAAGTCATAGAAATGTGATGAGAAGCCTCAGCACTGTAAAACCGAGGGTGGAGGAAAGCTTTTCCTCTCTCAAATGAGCTTTGCGAGGTATACTTCTTGAAGGATAGGAAGTTGAAGTGTTCAGGACTTTTATGTCTATTCTACTTTGGCTTAGTTTACATGATTCTTAGTTTATTAGCCTAGAAATGGCCAAGAAAACTTAAGGCTCAATATTTAGTTATAAATATGAAATATCCCCAATTTTTAAGATAAAAACAACTTATAAATGTATTTGTCTGTAAAAATTGTGTATATTTTTACAGAACATCTATTTCTTTCTTTATTTTTTTATTTTTTTTATACTTTAAATTCTAGGGTACACATGAACAATGTGCAGGTTTGTTGCATATGTATACGTGTGCCATGTTGGTGTGCTGCACCCATTAACTCATCATTTATGTTAGGCATATCTCCTAATGCTATCTCTCCCCCCTCCCCCCACCCCACAACAGGCCCTGGTGTGTGATGTTCCCCTTCCTGTGTCCAAGTGTTCTCATTGTTCAATTCCCACCTATGAGTGAGAACATGCGGTGTTTGGTTTTTTGTCCTTGCGATAGTTTGCTGAGAATGATGGTTTCCAGCTTCATCCATGTCCCTAGTAAGGACATGAACTCATCATTTTTTATGGCTGCATAGTATTCCATGGTGTATAATGAACCTGAAACGGGAAAGGGCGAGATTAACTAAGCCTGTTTGCCATGGACAGCAATGGGGTTGCTAGAAGATTAGCTGTGTGGAAAAATTATGCATTTACCTTTGGGCATAATAAAATGCAATTGACTCTCCATATTCATGGGTTCTGCATCCACTGATTCAAACAACTGTGGAACAAAATTGTCAGAAAAAACAATACAACGATAAAAAATGATACAAATAAAAAACAACATGGTATACCAACTATTTACGTAGCATTTACATCGTATTAATTGTTATTAAGTAATCTAGAGATTATTTAAAGTATATAGGAGGATGTGTGTAGGTTATATGCAAATACTACACTATTTTATACCAGTAACTTGAGCATCCATGGATTTTGGTATACAAGGGGGATCCTGGAACCAATTCCCCATGCATATCAAAGGATGACTGTATGAGTTATCTGTAAAATGGTTTGGTTGAAATGTTTAGAAAACAGCTAGAAATACAAGACTGGCTGTTGGATGAAAAAAACATAGGACTAGGAAATTCAGGTATGCTAGTCTTTTTGAGTATTGCTTAAAGCCATGGGAAAAGAGCTCTCTGTGAGTTCCAAGACAGATGCAAGGACTGGCATTCATGCACAGCTTCTAACAGATAAATCTGAAGAGTTCTTAGTATGCATGTTGACTGAAATTACTTTAGAAGTAATTTTTCTCCTGGTGATAAAAGGCATGTAAGGCTATTTTAGGAAATTGAAAAATGCAAAAAGGTATAAAGAAAAAGAAAAGATAATCATTAATAGTACGTTAGTAAACAAGACTTGACTAAAGATACGACTTTCCTCCCGCTTGTTTTCTTATGCATATAAAGGGATAGGAAATATGTATGTATGTATGTGTGTGTATAGGATCATGCACTGTATATAGCTTGCTTCTTTTTCCATTATGATAATTTTCCCATGTCATGAATTACGGCTTGCAAGTGCTTATTCTTAAAGGGCTGCATTATTTTTCATTATTTGGATTTATTGTTATTTAATTGGAGCTCTATTATTGAACATTTAGATTGCTTCCAAAATTTTTTGCTCTTGTTAATATATTGTAATAAACTTCTGTGAAACACATACTCTTCACCTGCTACTTACATATGACTTCTGTAAGCAGAGACCTCTGTATCCCCAGGACCTAGAAGGTTACCCAGACATAGTAGTTGCTTAATTAAAAAAAATTATTGATTGAATGAAAGAAGACTATTAAATGTTCAGTTCTTCTTTTTTTATTCTGATTCCCTGTGTATCCAGGGGCCTCTTATTTGGCTGCATATATGAGTTTGGCTGTAATGAAAGTATTGGCCGTATATGACCATAAACAGGCATTCCTATTTCTGTCACAGTTATATTTGTCATTCTGTATTAATACATCTATATCCTGATTTCTATTGAAGCATGGTTAATTTTGTTTGCTTCTAAGCAATGTAGCTACCCTGTTGATGCTGATAAAAATAAATTTCTGAACCTATAAGACTGAGGATTGGGCCTAGGTTGTAGTAAATTGGCAAGATAATGGATGCTACCCTGTCAAGAGTCCTCTGAAGAGAAAAGTCTGCCACCCTTCACCAGGTAGAAACTCCAGGCAGTGCCACATTTTCCAGTTTGACGCCCTGTGATACCCTGAAAAGACAGATGTTTGACTCTTTTCAAATAATATTTTAACATATTTTAAGACGCAAAGGCATTGTGTCGGACTTTTTTCTTAAGAATATATTTCATTACCACTCAGAAGTTAGCTTCCAAAAGAAATGTGTGTGCAAAGGTTTATGATAGTGGTGTAGAGAAGTTTTTAAAATAAATGTGCATCTTTTATGGTAATAAAAGCACATTACGAAGAATTTTTTAGGTCCAGTTCACAGATTCCTTGTGCCTGGGGAAAACTTTATTAGAAAATTAGATAATTTCTAATTTGATTAGGGGAAGTCTAATGGGAAAACTTTTTAACTGAGCGGTCCAATTTGAAACATGAATATCTGTGCTGGAAGCTTCTATTGAACTTTACTTAAGTCACATCTGAGCCCCTCTGCCTGTCAGTCCACCATTACCCTAACAGTGGTAGAAATTCTTTATATGACACCTAGATCTTTTTTTGTTGCACTTTTAAGCTGTGTAGGAAACACACTGCCCACATGTTCATACAACACAGAGTGATTATCCACTTAGTTCCTAAAAAGTTGTGTTTGGTTATGGGATTTGATCCCACTTGTCCAGGGTTTAGGTCAGCTACTGAAGATTAGGATATCTGGGTACCTCTTACTGGAGAATCCATTCCTGTTTTCATTTCATTCCTGGGGGCAATATTCAATCTGGTGTGGCCCTCTGTATTATAAAATGTTTCCCAGATTGTGTTTATCTGAAATACAAATCCAAGAAGAAGCATGGTGTTAATTGCCATGTAAAAAAGATTCCAGAGTCAAGAGCTTGAGAAGTTCTATTCCTTCCTTCATAGGTTCAGTTGTTTAACTCAGCATTTTTCAAACATATTTTACTCCTAGAACCTGTTTTTCCTCAGACATATTTAAGAAAAAAGCGTTTTGTAGAACACATTTGGACAAATGATACTTTATATCATTGCTTTGTTTTTTAAATTTTAGTTTGACTCAATTTTACAGTTTCAGGATTTTGTTTCTGTTTCAGGTTTTAAGCTTTTCTTTTATAAATAGTTACTTTCCTAGTCTGAAATCTATACATTGTTTCAGTAATGAATTCATTATGTAAATTTGCCCATCATTCATCTAAAGGGAATAAACATTAAATTGTTTTTTTAAATTTTGACTTGTGTCACATATGAGAATATAAAGTATATCTGTACAATAAAGGAAAATGAAACATCAAAGTATCTACCTCAGGTTAAGAAGCAGAACTTGGCTGGGCATGGTGGCTCACACCTGTAGTCCCAGCACTTTGGGAGGCAGAAGTGGGAAGATCACTTGAAGCCAGGAGTTGGAGACCAGCTTGTTCAATAAAGGAAGACCTCATCTCTAACAACAACCACAACAGCAAAAAATTAGCCAGGCACGGTGACACATGCTTATAGTCCCAGCTACTGGTGCAGCCTCGAACTCCTGGTCTCAAGCCATCTTCCCACCTCAGCCTCATGTTGTAGTGAACTTTGTTATGCAGTGTCTCCTATTCTACTTGTGCAGGAGTATTTTTCCAGTATGTACCTGGAGTGGAATTGCTTGGTCATTGGGCATGTGTGTGTTCAGCTCTATTGAGTGGCATCATACTGTTCTCCAAGGCAGTTGTACCAATCTACACCCTCACCAGCAGTGAATAGTCTTCCCATTGTTCTTCCTCAATGAAACTAGATATTCACAGCCTTTTAGGTTTTTCCTAGAGTATGAAGTGGTATCTCTTTGGGGTTTTAATATTTATTTCCCTGATTAGAATTGTAGTTGAGTATCTTTTATTATGTTTATGGGCCATTTATGTTTTCTCTTCTGTGAAATTCCTATTCGGGTTTTTTGCTCATTTTAAATGTTGTTGTTTGTGTTTTTCTTATATAGGAATTCTTCACGCATTCAAGATGCACGTATGTTGTTCAGCATAGTACCTGAGACATAGAAACAACTTTGTAAGAATAGCTATCATTACATTACCATTGTATTTAATCCTTTGTTTTTATGTGTTACAATTATCTTCTGCTAATTTGTGGCTTATTTTTCATTCTGTAATGCTCATTTTTTAACCTAGTATTCTATTATTTTAAAAATACACAATCTTGAGTAGTCTACATGTTCATAACCATGACATATTCATGTTGCATTTGTTCTGTGTCATAACCCAGAACTTTCTTTTTTTTTTTTTTTTTGAGATGGAGTTTTGCTTTTGTCACCCAGGCTGCAGTGCAATGGCGTGATCTTGGCTCACTGCAACCTCTGCCTCCTGGGTTCAAGAGATTCTCCTGCCTCAGCCTCCCGAGTAGCTGGGATTACAGGCACCTGCCACCATGCCCAGCTAATTTTTGTATTTTTAGTAATGGTGTTGTTTCGCCGTGTTGGCCAGGCTGGTCTCGAAATCCTGACCTCAGGTTATCTGCCCACCTTGGCCTCCCAAAGTGTTGAGATTACAGGCATGAGTAGCTGCACCCGGCCAACTTTCAATCTTAAGTACCATTTTTTGCTGCTGTTTCTTTTTTTGAACCCCAGGAAAAAATTAACTCATTTAATCCCCTATTCAAACTGCTACAATTTTATTTTCAGTGTTGTCGCCTGGTTGTAGATGCATTTGTCTCTCCAAATGCACTGTGATTATTTCGAAGACAAAACATTTTTGGCATTGTGATATATATATATATATATATATATATGTATATATGTATGTAATATATATATGTATGTATATATGTATATAATATAGTATAAATATTTATTTATGTTTTATATATCATATAAAAATTATATATAAAAATTATATATATATATATAAATGCCACTTATCCCTAATATAGGGACTCGATTAGTTTCTGCTAGTGTGGAGACAAGTCATATCATGGCTAGGGGCCATGATGGTAGGAGCAGTCAGAGGATTTCTTGCATTGTGATGAGTGCCTATAAGTTAAATGAGCCACTTATCAGTAGATTTGATAGCAGGATAATAGTTATATCACTGATACCTAGGCAGTACATGACACTCGGTAAAGAATAGATTAATCCTCGTGCTCTTCATCTTCCTCCTAATCTCTTTACCTGTGCTGCCCTCCAGCTTTCAAAGTGCTCTGAGTCATCACTTACACAGTGTTCCTTAGCTGCCCCTTCAGTGAGCCAGTGTTTCTGTGCCCCAGTGTTCCTGAGAGTTAGAACACAGAAAACAGAGCAGGCTCTTGCCCACATCACAGAACATCTTTGTCTCCCTGTGGATCCCGCACATTTGTTCATTAGAGCTCAGGAATTGCCAGAGACTGGCTTTTGTGGCAATGGACACTAGATTCCTCAGAAGAATATTGGTTGAAATCTTCCTGCTGTGACAATTCCCTGCATGCAGGGCAGGAGTGTGTGCTTCTTCCCAGCAAAGGCAGAGGCAGGGCCTACAGAAACTGTGCCCGCAGCCTATAGTGATGGGGTCTATGAGGTAATTCAGGCAGATGAGGCAGGTGAGTTCTTTCTGGAAGGCTTGTGGGAAGTCTAAGTCCATTTTTCTGAGGGAAGAAAACCAGAAGAATTTATTCTTATGCCACAGAGAGGCAAAGATCTACACAAAGTTTGAATCAGGTTTTGAGTAGGATTCGCTCACAGGTTTAAATCTATAGCAGGATACGATTTTATTTTGCACATAACAAAAATGAAAAACTGAGGCATAGAATTCAAGCTTTGCAGAAAAATGTGTTGGCTCCCTAACCAACACACACACACACACACACACACACACACACACACACACACACACCTACTTTCCAAATTCTTTCCTCCTGTATGAAAAAAACTTAAGGCTGGGCACAGTGGCTCATGCTTGTAATCCAGCACTTTGGGAGGCTGAGGCAACAGGATTGCTTGATCCAAGGAGTCCAAGACCAGCCTGGGCAACATGATGAGACCCTGTCTCTACAAAAAGAAAAGGAGAAAAAAATTAGCTGAGCATGCCAATAGTCCCAGCTACTAGGGAGGCTGAGGTGAGAGGATTGCTTGAGCCTAGGAGGTCAAGGCGGCAGTGAGCCATAATCCAGCCACTACACTCTAGCCTGAATGACAGAGCAAGACTCTGTCTCAGAAATGAACAAAGAAAGAAAAAGAGAGAGAGAGAGGGAGGGAAGGAGGAAGGAAGGAAGGAAGGAAGGAAGGAAGAAAAGGAAGGAAGGAAGTTTACAGAGTTTTTTGAGGTGTTAGTGTTCCCTAAATTGTATGGTCTTCAGAGGTTTACCCTCCTATAGCTTCAAGGGGTGAGTCCTGACTGGTAGGAAAATCAATCACACTCTTACTTGCCAGTGATTCATTTAGGGAAGACAGCTAACTAAGCTCTTCCACTTTGATTATTTCATTTAATTGTAACAACCATCTTATTATGACTTCTTCAAAATTACCCTGCCAGTAAGTGTTGGAGGACTCCCCAGAAGCAGAAACCACCACGCTTCCTGTATAGCCTACGGAACCATGAGCCAACTAAAGGTGTTTCTCAGGTATTTCTTTATATCTTTGGCCAAAATTAAAGAGTTAGGCTTTACTCTCCAAGATACTGCAATGGACAAAAACAAGCCACCACTGTTTTCTAATGTTGTTTTCTTGTTAATTCAATCAACAAGTATTTTCTGGTAAGTTTAGTGTTCCAGAGACTGGTAACCTGGTGATGCACCAGTTAATAAAACATCCTTAAGAGAAATAAAAGTTGAAAAATGAACCAGATGATAAAATGCAGTAGTGTACACAATGCCACTTATCCACAGGTCTTCTGTGTGTCACCCATGATCCAGAAAATGTCTTTAGTATAAGCCATTGATAAAGATGCCTGAAAAATTTACGTATAGAAGACATAGTCACAAAATTATTTTTTTCCTTTGATATCCCTTGTTACTTCAAACAGAATTTACCACTCCAATTCGATTTCTGAATACATGGGAGTTAATAGAATACTCCTAATCCATTTATAGGATCTACACTAAGTAAAAAAATTAAAGACATCTGAAAACTATTTTGTGAGTCCTTATAATCCATATCAACAATCATGGTATATATTAAGTAATAGACCAAAAATTAATCATCATATTAACCAAAAACACATAGCAAGACAAGATAACTAAATATTTTCATTTGGAAATTGGGAAATTTAGTCAATTTTAAAACTCAGCAAATGAGATCATTTCACAGAAGCAACCTAGGTTTGCTGGTAAATTAAAATTATGACATTTTGTTTTGGTTTGGGAGGGTAGTTCCTCTTCTGTAAATTGTGTACTCACATAAGAAATATATCTATGTTCTCACGGACACTTGCTGTAGAGGTAATAATATGAAGTTAGCTCAGGGATCAGGGCCTCACAGTGCAGTGCTGGTAGTTTTTTTTGTTGTTGTTGTTTTTTTTTTTTTTTTGCCCTGCACCTTGAGTAAAAGTTTCCTGAGGCCTCCCCGGAAGCAGAAACCACCATGCTTCCTGTATAGCCTATGGAACTGTGAGCCAACTAAAGGTATTTCTCATGTATTTCTTTATAGGAATGCAAGAGCGTACTAATACAGCTAAGCAGAGGCCATCAGGACCAGCAAAAGTCTGAGCTGGATGAGAGACAAAGCTAAACTTTGAGCAGCAGCAGAAGCTGCCAGGGATTACAGAAAGGAAGGACTGACTCCTAAATTCCAGGATGTCTCCTTTAAGTCTGTAAGAAGCTCAGCCACTGTCTCCTTACCTGACTCCTCTGGGAAAGAGTTTCCCTGGGTTAAACCATACAGGGATAGGGTAGGAGATGCCATTTGGATCTAGGAGCAGAGGGCAGAGACTCAGCAGGAAGAGTGTCTCTTTGAGAAGGATACACAGTGGAGCAGGTGTGTAGGTTCACAGGGCCAGCTATGGGTAGAGTCGGGTGTACATTTTTAGAAGCCACAATTCCCAAAAATCTCCTGACTATAAGATCAGTGCACAGAGCCAGTCAAATGGAGGAGGAGTGGGTCCAGGCAATTCAGGAAGAAGGAAAGTAACAAATGAGTGGTTGCAGGAGGACACTTTTTCTGTCGAGGTCACTAAACAAAACATTGTCTCCTCCCCTTAACTTCGGAAACAATGGAGGGTAAAAGTGTTGCCTGGGCCCTGGGGGCAAAGGCAGTAGATAACTTCTCTGTCGTGTTCTCCAGAAGGGCCCATTCCAGCCTCACAGGCCGAGAAGTCTGTTCGGTTCCCAAGTACTAGAGATGCTGCTATAAGGGACTCCTGAATTTCCTTCCTGAACCAGAGGCTGCCCAGCCTTTTCTTCCTGTTTTATTTTTTCCCAGGAAGAAACTTGCCTGTACAATTACAAGGTTCTACGGTTCTAAATTCCAATCTAGTCTTCCACATCATTTTGAAGGTATAATATTACTTGTCAAAGTGGGATGATAGAAGATATGTGTGGACATAAATTGTTGACAAGGAAAAAAACTAAAATCAGAAAATAAGAAAAAATATATGTATGTACAGTGGTTAGCTAGAAATGTGCCTTTTAAATATTTGGCATGTGGTATGTGGGCCTCAATGTGTACTATTGCACTAGCTTCCCAAATATTAAAGGATGTCTTTTAAAAGAAAAACCTCTTGCTAAAAGGTTAACAGTTAAAATAACCAGAGTGGCACAGGTACCAGTCATTAAGTGAAACCTTTCATCTTCCCAGAATAGTACCTGTTCCCAAGCCAGCTTCTTTGAAAATCACTTTTCTCTCCTTTACTATTTAGTTTACAGATTGTATAGTAACAATACAGAAACCACAATAGTAGCAAAAAAAATAAAGAATATTTTTAAATGAAAACTCACATCCTAACTCTACCAAAACATGAAAATTAAACCTGAATGCCTCCCATTCCTGATATATTTTCACCTAAATATTCAGCTCTGGGATTGCATTGTTTTTGGATTGAGTGGAAATTATTGCCTGGTCTTGAAATCTTCCATAATGTGTGTGTGTGTGTGTGTGTGTGTGTGCGTGTGTGCATGTGTGTGTGTGTATATGTATGTATGTGTGGTGAATATATTTCTTTTTGTTCGGAGCAAAGATTTTTTCAATATGTATATTTATTTTAGGCAGATTATGCTAGTAATTTTCTACAAATGTGCTTTTTAAAAAATAACCTTTAATTTAAAAAAAATTATTCTTACTCAGTGGCCCACAATTGTTAAAAACGCTACTAATGGAGCTGGGTATGGTGACACACACCTGTCATCCCAGCTACTTGGGAGACTGAGGCAGGGGTATTGCTTAAACTTGGGAATGTGAAACCAGCCTGGGCAACATAGTGAGATCCCAATCTCAAAAATCAATCATTAAAAAATAAAATAAAACACTACTAATAGCTTTTTAAAAAATAGTTCTTAACCAATTTTCCTAGCACCTTCCTTTCCTCAGTGAAGTATAGAAATATGTGGTCAGTCACTGTGGCTCACACCTATAATCCCAATAATTTGGGAAGCCAAGGCATGAGGATCAGTTGATTCCAGGAGTTCAAGACTAGCCAGGGTGACATAATGAGACTTGGTCTCTAACGAAATTTTTTTTTCTTTAATTACCAGGGCATGAGGGTGCATGCCTGTAGCCCAGCTACTTGGAAGGCTGAGGTAGGAGAATCACTTGAGCCCAGGAGGTGAAGGCTGCAGTGAGCCATGGTTGCACCACTGCACTCCATACCTGGGTGACAGAGTGAGACACAGTAACAAAAACAAACAACAACAAAAAGTATTTGTTTTAGAAAAAACATTTGGTGAGATTTGGGCTTAAAAATATATTATTCTAAAATATTCATAAATATTCTCTAGTAATGATAAGATTAAAGTGACAAAGACAAACTTTTTTCCTGTGCAGTTCCATCTCTCACCTTCCTGTAATTTGTCTGTCCCATCCAGCTTCCAAAGGAAATTATTTACAAAATAATGTCTGCATCCTGGGTCTATATATCTATTGCCTATGAGGAGAGCGTTTAAGATCTGAGCCATCTTCAAGTCTTATACTTTGTGTATAGCTCTCATGTTTTTGCAGGTTATGTAAGTTTGTATACCCTTTCTTTTATTAATCTGTGTATGGTCAGTTCATTTCCGGTAATCTTCAGAGGGTGAAAGGGGAAGCTTTTCACTTCACTCCTACTGTGACAACTAACTACCTTCTTACTTATTCAATTTTTTAGTCTATATCAACATTTTTATATACATTTACTTTTAAACAAAATTTTGCATCATTACACTTAAAATTTTATTTAACTTTTAAAAAGGAAATTAAAAATAAAATTAAAAATTATAAAATTTTACATAATAAAAATAAAATAAATGATTTATATAAAAATTAATCTGACCTGTGAAAAACACTGTCCAGAGGCCAGGTGCGGTGGCTAACGCTTGTAATCCCAGCACTTTGGGAGGCCGAGGTGGGTGGATCACGAGGTCAGGCGATCTAGACCACGATGAAACCCCTCTCTACCAAAAATACAAAAAATTAGCGGGGCGTAGTGGCGGGCGCCTGTAGTCCCAGCCACTCGTAGAGGCTGAGGCAGGAGAATGGCGTGAACCCGGGAGGCGGAGCTTGCAGTGAGCCGAGATCGTGCCACCGAAATCCAGCCTGGGTGACAGAGCCAGACTCTGTCAAAAAAAAAGAAAAAAGAAAAAAGAAAAACACTATCGAGAGAATAAAAAGACAAATCACAGACTGGGAGTAAAAATTTACAAAAGCTATATCTGGTGAAGATACATTTGTTATCCAAAATATGCAAAGAACTCTCAGGACTCAATAATAGGAAAACAAATAGTCTAACACAAATGTAGAGATCTGAACAGACATTTCACCATAGAATACAGATGGACGATACATAAGCACATCATTCATCATTAGGGAAATGTAAATTAAAACCACAATGAGATACTGTTACTTGCCTATTAGAATAGCTAAAATTTAAAAGACTGACCATACTAAACATTGGTGAGAACACAAAGGAACAGGAATGCTCATATACTGCTGCTGGAAATACAGCCACTTTGTCAGTTTCTTTAAAAGTTAAACTGGCTGGGAGCGGTGGCTCACGCCTGTAATCCCAGCACTTTGGGAGGCCAAGGCGGGCGGATCACGAGGTCAGGAAATCGAGACCATCCTAGCTAACACGGTGAAACCCCATATCTACTAAACATACAAAAAATTAGCCGGGCGTGGTGGCGAGCACCTGTAATCCCAGCTACTCCGGAAGCTGAGGCAGGAGAATGGCGTGAACCCGGGAGGTGGAGCTTGCAGTGAGCCGCGATGCACCACTGCACTCCAGCCTGGGCGACAGAGCGAGACTCCGTCTCAAAAAAAAAAAAAAAAAAAAAAAGTTAAACATATCACACCACCTAGTCATTCAAATCCTGCTTATTTGCCCAAGACAAATGAAAGTGTATGTCCAAACGATTGGACAAACATTCGTAGCAACTTTATTTGAAATAGCAAAAACAACTGGAAGCAAACCAAATGTCCATCAAGAGGTGAATAGATACACTAACTGTAGAATATCCACACAATAAAACTATTTTTTTAAAAACTACGGGGCAAAAAACAAAAAACCAAAGATAGAATCTAATTTCTTGGTAAATACATTCACTATTAGGGTTTTTATAACAGAGAAGTCATTCTTTATTAACACTCTTTTGACTATGAAAATATTTTGACATCAAAAATCTGCAAAATATGAAGAAACAGGACACACAGCTTTTTCTATTTTTTATTTTTATTTTATTTTTATTTTTTTGAGAAGGAGTCTCTTTCTGTCACCCAGGCTGGAGTGCAGTGGCGCGATCTTAGTTCACTGCAAGCTGTGCCTCCCGGTTCACGCCATTCTCCTGCCTCAGTCTCCCGAATAGCTGGGACTACAGGCGCCCGCTACCAAGCCCGGCTAATTTTTTGTATTTTTAGTAGAGACGGGGTTTCACCGTTAGCCAGGATGGTCTCAATCTCCTGACCTCGTGATCTGCCCGCCTCGGCCTCTCAAAGTGCTGGGATTACAGGCGTGAGCCACCACCCCCGGCCCCAGGACACACAGCTTTAAAATTTCTCCTTGGTCTCACCCAGTGCCAACCACCTAAAACCTCTCATTTTCCCCCAGACATTTCTTCTGCCTCCAGGATGGAGGTAGAGAATCTTGGCCTTGGACCACGCACTGGGGACCATGCTGGGCTGCCGTGGACAGTGACGGACTCAGGTTCTCACCAGGATCCCCAAAATAGGCCCCTGAAAAAAATGTTACCATCAGGGTGCGCTCCCTGATTCTTCTGTCTGCTGGAAGGAGGAAATCAAGCCAGGAACATTGTCAGGATAGAGATGAAAATGGGGCTCACTTTTCTGTCTTTTGTGATGTCAGACAAGCCTTTCAGCTCTGTCTCTTCAGCCCTCATGGAATTGTTTGGTGTGGACGCACCGAGATTCTGAACTGGGTCCCCTTTCCCTCTGCCCTTCTCTGGGGCCAGATTCTGAGCTCTCCATTCCAATTTTTCCCCCAATTTTCCCTTGCATTTATTTATCTGGATTACTGTCTGCCTGTCCCAAAGAATAAAAGCTTTATCACAGTGGGGATTTTGTTTAAAAAAATAATAATAACAGCTATATTTTTAGGATCCATGACACTGTCCAGCATATCGGTGGTATCTGATAAAAAATGTTTGTTGACTGGATGAACAAATATATTATTCACAATTCACATTATCCTGAACTGGCTAGAAAATTAAATATCTGATATCAGTATTGGCAATATTATGAAGTAAATATAAGTCTGATACAGTGCTCGTGAAAGTCTAATACGCAATGCTCATTTTAGAAAACATTTTCTTGTAGATTTGAAAATGTTTCATCTCCATGAACTAGTTGTATATCTGCAAGTTGTGTATCTTTGGGTTAGGCAGAATAATTGCCCCCCACCAAAGACAGCCACATCCCAGTCTTCAGATAAGGTGAACATGCTAACGTAAGTTAGCATGTTCAGAGACTTGGCAGATGTGATTACCATTAAGGGCATTGAAATGGGGAAATTACCTTGAATTACCTTGGTGAGCCAGTCTAATCTCATAATTCCTTGAGAGCAGAGAATATTTTCTGGATGCTGAGATTCAGACAGATGGCAGTATGAGAAAGATGTGGCCTGCTATTACTGGCTTTTAAAACAGTGGTAGGGGGCCACAAGCCAAGAAAAGCCAGTGACCTTTAGAAGCTGGGAATGACCCAAAGTTTACAACCAGGAAGAAACTGAGGATCTACAACCACAAGGAACTGAATTCTGCCAACAACCCAGATGCTCTTTTAGAGCCTTCAGAAAGAAATGCAGCCTGCCAACATCTTGATGTTAGTTCAGTGAGAGCCATGCCAGATTTCCAACCAAAACAATTCTAAGACAATAAGTCTGTGTGTGTTTTTTAAAACTGACTCAAATCTTACAAAAATGTGTTCTTTTAAGCCACTGAATTTGTGGTAAATTGTTACAGCAGGAATAGAAAACTGATACAACCCTAGAGAAAGTCTTGTACATGTGCCCTATAAACACACAGCAGAATTTTTTTAACTTTTTATTGAGTTAAAATATATATATATATAATTTACCATCTGTACATTTTTAGAGGACAGTTTAGTGGTGATAAATACATTTATATTTTCTTCTCTTAATCTCCTCTTCCCACTCCCCTTGCTGGCCTCTAGCAACCACCAATTTACTTTCTATCTCCATGAGATCCACTTTTTTACTGCCCACATATGAGTGACAACATGTGGTATTTGCCTTTCTGTGCTTGGCTCATTCCACTTAACATAATGGCCTATGTTCATTACGTTAAACCAAATGGCCAGTGCCACCTATGTTGCTGTGAATGACAGAATTTCATTCTTCTTTGTTTCTGAGTAGTATTGCATTATGTATATATATGACTTTTAAAATCTATTCATTTGTTTATGAGCACTTACGTTGATTCCATATTTTGTCTATTGTGAATAGTGCTGCAGTACACATCGGCATGTAGATATGTCTTTGATACATTAATTTCCTTTATTTTGGATATACATCCAGTAAAGAAATTGCTGGACCACATGGTAGTTCTATTTTTACTTTTTTGAGGAACCTCCATACTATTCTCCATAGTGGCTTTATTAATGTGGATTCCCACCAACAGTGTACTAGTATTTCCCTTTCTCCACATCCTTGCCAGCATCTGTTATTGCCTGTCTTTTTGAAACAAGTCATTTCAACCAAGGTGAGATGATATTGCATTGTGATTTTGATTTGCATTTCTTTGACGATTAGTGATACTGAATATTTTTTGTCTTCCTATTGGCCATTTGTTTGTCTTCTTTTGAGAAAATATCTGTTCAGATCTTTAGCCCATTTTTAAATTGTATTTATTTATATATTTTTAACTATTTTTTTTGAGAAGTAAGGTCTTGCTTTGTCACCCAAGCTAAAGGGCAGTAGCATAATCATAGCTCACTGTAACCTCAAACTCCTGGGATTAAGAAATCCTCCTGACTGGGCGCGGTGGCTCACGCCTGTATTCCCAGCAATTTGGGAGGCAGAGGTGGGCGGATCACGAGGTCAGGAGATCGAGACCATCCTGGCTAACATGGTGAAACCCCATCTCTACTAAAAATACAAAAAATCAGCCGGGCTTGGTGCCGGGCGCCTGTAGTCCCAGCTACTCAGGAGGCTGAGGCAGGAGAATGGCGTGAACCCTGGGGGAGCAGAGCCTGCAGTGAGCCGAGATCACGCCACTGCACTCCAACCTGGGCGACAGTGAGACTCCATCTCATAAAAAAAAAAAAAAAAAGAAATCCTCCTACCTCAGCCTCTTCAGTAGCCCATTTTTCAATCAGATTTTTTGTTTGTTTATTATTGAGTTGTTTGAGCTCCTTATATATTCTACTTGTTAACCCTTTGTCAGATAGATAGTTTGAAAATATTTTGTCCCATTCTGTGCTTGGCTCTTCACTTTGTTGATTGTTTCCTTTGCTTGAGGCTTTTTAGTTTGATATAATCCCATTGTCTATTTTTGCTTTTGTTGCCTGTGCTTCCGAGGTCTTACGCAAAAAAATCTTTGCCCAGACTAATGTCCTGGAGCATTTCTCCTATGCTTTCTTTCTTTCTTTCTTTCTTTCTTTTTTCACGCCATTCTCCTGCCTCAGCCTCCCGAGTAGCTGGGACTACAGGCGCCCACCATCATGCCCCGCTAATTTTTTTTTTTGTTTTTTGTATTTTTAGTAGAGACGGAGATTCACCGTGTTAGCCAGGGTGGTCTCGATCTCCTGACCTTGTGATCCGCCCGCCTTGGCCACCCAAAGTGCTCAGATTACAGACAAGAGCCACCGCGCCCGGCCTTTCCTATTTTTTTTTTTTTTTTACTAGCTTCATAGTTTCAGGTCTCAGATTCAAGTCTTTAATCCATTTTTATTTGATTTGATTTTTGTGTATGGTGAGATGGGATTAATTTTATCCTTCTGCATATGGTTATTCAGTTTTCCCAGGATCATTTATTGAAAAGACTGTTGTTTTCCCAGTGTATGTTCTTGATGCCTTTGTCAGAGATGAATTGTTTGTAAATGTGTAGATTTGTCTGCGATCTCTATTCTGTTCCACTGTCCTATGTGTCTGTTTTTATGCCAGTAGAAATATATTGGCAATAATTAGTACAGAAGAGCTGAAACAATGAAATGACAAAAGTGAATTATACTGATATAATTCATTATGCTCACTAAATGCAATAGCATACAGCTAGGAAAACAAAGTAGTGCACACGGTATTAAAATACAACACAATTCAATATACACAGTGCTCACAGTGGCCATCGTTAGAGTGTTGAAGAAGGGGATGTAGTCAGCAAAAGTTGTACAGGTGACTTCAAAAGTAATCATAAGCACTTATGATTACTTTTGGCTTAATTTCTTAAACCAAGACTGGAGACACAGGTGTTCATTATGTGCTTATTATATATATAAAATAAATATTTTATAAATATATTGTTTCTATTCAGTATTTAATAAAGTAAATCAGTAGAAAAGGTTAAAAAGCAATGCACACATATTTCAAATATTTTTTGCTCCAAATTATATAAACATTGCATAGTTATTGCCCTGGGCCTGGCAAGGTGACTCACACCTCTCATCCTAGCACTTTAGGAGACTGAGGCAGGAGGATAGCTTCAGCCCCAGAGGTCAAGGCTGCAGTGAGCCTTAATTGCACTACTGCACTCCAGCCTAGGTGACAGAGCAAGATGCTGTCTGAAGATAAAAATAAAAATAAGTTAATAAATATATGTTTATATATTAACTGATTTTATTAACTATATATATATATAGTTGTTGTCTTGGTCTATAGGCAATCTTACAGTGCTTAAGACTTTGATACTGAGAACAGATCTCCTAGGTATATGCTATGTTTCTGGGGTGATATGATGCTCTCATCTGGCCTCCGTGAGCCTAATTCTATCTTACATTTACCCCACTCTTCAACAACAACTTGGGGAGGTGTCCCTAAACATTCCTAGGTGAACCCAAACCTGTGGCCCTCAACACATTTCTAGGTAAAGCAAGCTCCTGACATATCTGTGGATATCCTCTCACTGGAAGAAGGGGGAAGAGACCATCTCAAAATAATTCATTTAATATAGCTTTTCAGCATTAATTTTATTTTGATAAAGAGACACACAGTAAATAAAATTTCTAAAAAACTATAAACTTTCAAGCATTCTCACGCTAAATCTAGCCCTGCTTACATGCCAGGGAAATATAAAGGTAATCTGTTTCTCAACCTGACCAGGATGCTACAGTAATTAAAAATAAACTCAATCCCTGGATCCCTACCAAAGGGACATTTCATATGGATCAAAGTTCTGGAAAAATTATTTGTCTGGAAATAGACTAATTCTCCAAAATGTAATTGAAATAACGGCCTCTGGAAAGGGCCAAATACGACTCTTAATGAAACAACAGCTAAATATAGGTCTGATGCTCATTCCGTGTGGACAACAATAGCAGCCATTCCCACAAATGGCTGATTTGTGGGAAGTAAACACTACTTTTGCAGAATCTTACATGATTTCAGTAGAAGGTCAAGGACATTTCAGTTGGGAACAGATTGCTCCATGGTAATACGATCACTATGTACCCAACAATGGCTCTTTCTTCCTAGCCTCAATGCAGATGTTATTTTCACCTTAACTATTATCATTGCTGTTTCTAACCACATAAAAGTGTATCCTTTATATATCTGAAGTAAATTCATACTAGTGGTGTAACATCTCCAGCCATTTAAGTGTAAAAACAGAAAACATATGATGTGTTTACTTACTGTTTTATACTCCTAACGCATGAAGAGAAGATCCTTTTATTCATTGCCTATACTTTTATTTCTAAACTTTCTGTAACACTTTATCTTATATCCAGCATAGAATTGAGATTTGCTTTTTGATTTAATCTGACAATATTTTTTCCTCTAATAAGAGTCAAGCCCACTTACTTTTAATGATAAATTGTGTTTGGTTATATTTTGATTACAGTATATTATGCTATGATTTATATGCACATATCTGTCTTTTGCTGTCTTGTTTTATTGCTTTTGTTTTGATGTTGTGATATTTGGAAGAGTTAAACTTTTATTCTGATGGCTACCTTATGTAATTTCATAAAATCATCTCTTTCTTTAGACAGTAGCTAATGTCTCTAAACTAAGAACAATGGTATTAGCTGTATTCTCTTTCTTGTCCTCCCTATGTGATTTTTCATCCCACAATTTGATTTAATCATATTAACTTTGTTTCCCCTGGTGCCATTAAGTATGCTTACATTTCTATAAACAATATCCTTTGACTCCCAGGCATTACAGATGAGCAGTCAGTAAAATCATTCTGAGGAATACTTTCTCTTTCCTTTTCTTCCATTTTTCTTAGTTGTATCATTTCTATATTGCCAGAGCACCTACAGTTGCATTTCTTTCTGTCAGCTTTATCCAGCATTTGTTCTTGTCTTTTATTTGAAGTTAAATATATTCCTTGCTCACTACAACACTGGGGGAAGGAAGGTTTCTGTTGTCGTCGTGCTTGTACAATTGTTTATTTAAAAACATTGGTGAAAACAAAAACTGTATGTAGATGGAATGGAGATAAGACAGAAAATGAGAGAGACTGATGATGAGTGTGCCTATTCTAGACTGGGAGGCATGCTACACTGAGTAGTGTCTCCAAGGCTGCAGGAAAGGATGGTTGATTGTGAGCAGGTGGACTTTCCACTGGAGGAGAGAAGTCCTGCGCTCAACAACCTGTGCAGAACCAGAAACTGGTAATGCTTCAAATCAACTTACAGACCTGGAGGTAGAAATTTAAGAAAACTCGTTTAGCACATAGTTTCCTAGAAAATATTAGCTACTATTTGCTGAGCATCTGTCAGGTCTGTCTGTAGTATGGAAGATCTGAGTACAGGGGAAACTGGATTAGTAACAGTGGGTCAGAAAATTATATAATATTCAACCAAAATTCCTGCTTTACATACACAGCACCTGGTATTTCCAGAACTAGAAGGTAAAGAAATTATTTGTGCTTGAACTTGCAGAAAACTGCCTTTTCCCTTCTTCTCTTGCATCTTAACCTGGAGCTTCCCTTTTCTTGAGCCTCAGTGTGCTTCCCAACTCAATTTATAATTGACTTCCTGCAGTTTCTCCTTAGGACAGGGCTTTGTTTTGGGGGTGGTTAATTTGTAGGGTTCATAGGAAACAGACCACTCACAGCACTGCTTTTTGCCACCCTCACTCTCAGCTATGAGTTGAGGCCCAGGAAGCCTTCTGCCAGCCTCAGCTGCTGTTCTCAGATTAATCTGCTGAGTTCTTTTTGCCTAGTAAGAATCTCTGAATTTAGGAACACAGATGTTAGCACTTGTATTTCTAGGTTTTCCAGTTCCCAGGGCCATTAAACATTTTTTTCCTTTCCTTTCCTTCTTCCAAAAAAATTGGTGATTCCCCTGGGTCCCTGTGGTTTAACCTCACAAAACGTCCATGATGACACCCTGTTACATTGTTTTGTCGTAGTTAATACCTTGTTATCCCAGTTGCTCAGTCAGTTTTTGTGAGAGATTCAGGGATCTTAATAAAACTGTGCTGCTACTGCTACTAACATCTTGCATAAAAGCCCGATTAATTAAAATGTTTATTTTGCATGTGATTTGAACTTGTAATTTTTATTCAAAGTTTTTCAACAGAGATCCAGAAAAGACCCTCCTTATATTTTTAGTTTTGTGCATTGCAACACTTTTTAGTGAAAAAAAAAATGAGAACAACACAAGTGATTTTAAAAGAATAAACCTACAATCCATTAATTATAAAATGAAATACTATGCAGGTGTTAAGAATGAGGGAATCAATAAGAACTTGTGTGGGGTAACTATAAACTTTTAAAAAATAAATTTAATGCTCATGTGACCATATTATCGTTAAAAAAATACAAGCATACTTGCACACACCTTCAAGCAAAATGGGTACACGCATTTAAAAATATTTAAATTAAGTAAATGGCCCAATAATTTAACTTCGTACAATTCTATGTTCTCTGATTATTTTATATGCCAGAAACAGGCATTACTGTTTTGTTTATTTCATTTGAAATAATTGTAGTCACATGAGGTTTAAGTTATAATACAGAGAGGTCACATATGCCTATTTTCTAATTGGTATCTTATTACCATTGAGTTTTGAGAATTTTTTACATATGCTAGATGTAAGTTCTTTGTCAGATATATGGTATGCAAATTATTTCTCCCAGTCTGTAATTCATTTTTTCAACCTCTTTACAGGGTCTTTCTAAGTAAAAAAAAAAAAAAAAAAAAAAAAAAAAGTGTTTATTTATTCTAATGAAGTCCAGTTTTATCACTTTTTCCTTTTGTAGATTTTGTTTTTAATATCAAGCCTAAAAATTCTTTGCCTAGCCCAAGGTCTCAAGAGTTTTCTTCTATTTTAAAAAGTTTAGTGAATTTATTTATTTATTAATTATTTTTGAGACGAGGTTTCGCCCAAGCTGTAGTGCAGTGGTGCCATCATTGCTCACTGCAGCCACTAACTGCTGGATTGAAGTGATGCTTCCACCTCAGCCACTTGAGTAGTAGCTGGGATTACAGGCACGAGCTACCATACACAACTTTAAGTTTTATAATATTACATTTTACATTTAAGCCTGTGATTTATGTGAGCTAAATTTTATATAAAGTATAAATTTAGGTCAGTCTTAGTTTTTGTACCTGTGAATGTCCAATTGCTGTAGCACCATTTGTTGAAAAAGATATCCTTCCTTTAAACTGATTTTGCATCCTTGTTAAAAAAAAATCAGTTGAATATAGTGTGGTCTGTCAGCTTTTAATAAGATAAAAACATTGACACTCACCAGATATCGAAGTTTAGAAATTTTTTTAAAGCTAAACTTCTGAAAATAGAATAAAAACACCTTCACATGTCAAATTAGTCAATTTCTATAGGACTAATTCATTTAAATATATTAAAATACAAAATAATTCAAACTACTAAAGTGATAATACAAGACTATAAATTTAAAGGCTAATTATTAAGTCAAATTGCTGTATTCTACGTGTTAGAGTGAGTTCAAAAGATCCATTGTATTACTGAATAGGCAAAAGTTTTAATTTCAGAGGATGAAACTGATATATTACTGCCACCTTGTGGATATTCTGTTATTACAGGCTATTATAAAAAGCAATGAGGGTATGTAATCTGTTCTAAGAAGAAGCATTTCCTTTTTTTGAGGTTTTTATTATTGTTATTATTACATTTTAAGTTCTGAGATACATGTACAGAACGTGGAGGTTTGTTACATAGGTATACACATGCCATGGTGGTTTACTGCACCCGTCAACCCATCATCTACATTAGGTATTTCTCCTAATGCTATCACTCCCCTAGCCTCCCACCCCCCTGACAAGCCCCGGTATGTGATGTTCCCCTCCCTGTGTCCATGTGTTCTCATTGTTCAACTCAAAAGAAAAACAGAAGCATTTTCTGCTTTCCCAATTTCTTAAATACAATGCAACTTTATGTTTAATTTAACTAACTTAATTTTTTGAGACAAGGTCTAGCTCTGTTGCCCAGGCTGGAGCGGAGTGGTGTGAATATGGTTCAGTGAAACCTCCACCTCCCTGGCTCAAGTGATCCTCCTTCCTCAGCCTCTCGAGTAGCTAGGACCACAGGCACGCACCACCATGGCCAGCTAATTTCTTTTTTATTTTTTGTAGAGATGAGGTCTCACTTTGTTGTCCATGCTGGTCTCAAACTCCTGGGCTCAAAGGATCCTCTTGCCATGGCCTCCCACAGCGCTGGGATTTATAGGTGTGTGCCATGGCACCAGGCCTAAGCAACTGTAGAGAAGCCTTTTTTTCTTTCATAAAAACAGTTGTAGATATTTTCCTTATGGAATTTATTTGTGGTGAAATATTTTAATAGATGGTTTGTTAATAATTTGTCTCAGATAATAATAATTGATTAATATTAAAACTACAAAACAAGTAGGATCTTCTTTTTCTATGAAAAATGAAAGTTGATTCTGACATTTATGTAAACATTTTAAATATTCAAAGTATATAAATGTGAAGTCCTATCAAGAGTAATTAGACAAGAGAAAGAAATAAAGGGCATTCAAATCGGAAAGGAGGACATCAAATTGTTCCTATTTGCAGATGACATGATCTTATATATAGGAAAACCTGAAGACTACCAGAAAACTTTTAGAACAAACAAATTCAGTGAAGTTGCAAGACACAAAACTAATACATGAAGATTGGTTGCATTTTTATATATGAACAACAAACTTGCTGAAAAAGAAATTAAGAAGGCAAACCCATTTACAATAGTTACCAAAAAAAAAAAACCCAGACATAAATGTAACTAAGGAGGTAAAATGAAAACTACAAAACACTAATGAAAGAAATTGAAGAGGATACAAACAAATGAAAAGACATTCATACTCATGGATCAGAAATATGAATGTTGTTAAAGTGACAGTACTACTCAAAAGCAACCTACAGATTCAATGCAATCTCTATCAAAATACCTATGAACATTCTTCACAAAATTAAAAAAAAATCCAAAGAGATTTTATGGAATCAAAAAGTATCCTGAATAGCCAAAGCCATCCTAAGCAAAAAGAACAAAGCTGGATGTATCATGCTACCAGACCTCAGAATACACTACAAAACTGTAGTAACCAAAACATCATGGTATTGGCATAAAAACAGACACATAGACCTATGGAATAGAATAAAGAACCCAGAAAATCCACATATCTCAGCCAACGGATTTTTTACAAAGATGCCAAGAACACTCATTGGGGAAAGGATAGTCTCTTCAATAAATGGTGCTGGAAAAACTGGATATCCATATGCAGAAGAATGAAACTAGACCTCTGCCTCTCACCCTATACAAAGATCAACTCAAAGTATCTCAAATACCCAAATATAAGACCCAAAATGGTAAAGCTACTAGAAGAAAACATAGGGGAGATCCTTCAGGACATTGCTCTGGGAAAATATTTTATGAATAAGGCATCAAAAGCACAGGCAACAAAAGAAAAAATAAACAAATAGGATCACATCAAGCTAAAAATCTTCTGCACAGCAAAGGAAATAAGAAAGTGAGTGAAAAGACAACTTACAGAATGGGAGAAAGTATAAACTCATCTGGCAGGAAATTAATATCAAGAATATACAAGGAATTCAAACATATCAACAGCAAAGAAGCACAACAATCTAATTAAATATAAACAAATGCTCTGAACAGACATTTCTCAAAAGAAGACATACAAATGACCAACAAATATATGAAAAAATGTTCAACACCACTAATCAGCAAGGAAATGCTAATCAAAGCCACAGTGAGGCATCATCTTACTTCAGTTAGGATGGCTATTATAGAAGAGACAAAAATAACAAATGCTGACAAAGACGTGAAGAAAAGGGACTTTTTTTTTTGACAGAATCTCACTCTCCGTCCAGGCTGGAGTGCAGTGGTGGTGTAATCTGGCTCCCTCTGCTTCTAGGGTTCAAATAGTTCTCCTCCCTCAGCCTCCTGAGTAGCTGGAGAAAAAGGAACTCTTATGCACTGTTGGTAGGAATGTAAATTAGAGCAGCCAGTATGGAGAACAGTATTGAAACACCTCAAGCAATCCCACTACTGGGAATTTATCCAAAGGAAAGAAAAGCATTATATTGCAGAGACATCTGCATCCCCATGTTTATTGCAACAGTGTTCACAATAGCCAAGATATGGAATCAACCTAGATTTCCAACAACAGATGAATGGATTTTTAAAATACGGTATATATACACCAAGGAATGCTATTTAGCCATAAAAAAGAATAAATAAAACCCTGTCATTCTCAGCAACATGGATGGAACTGGAGGATATTATGTTAAGCAAAATAAGCCAGGAATAGAAATTTCAACACCACATGTTCTCACTCACGCAGAAGCTAAAGAAAAGTTGATCTCATAGAAGTAAAAAGTAGAACAGAGGATACTGCAGGCTGAAAAGGGTAGGGAGAAAGGAGGAATGGTAAGAGATTTGTTAATGGATACAAAATTACAGCTAGGTAGGAGTAATAAGTTCTAGTGTTCTATAGTACTGTAGATGACTATAGTTAACAATACTATATTATGTAGTTTAAAATACCTAGGAGTAGTTTGAATGTTCCCAACACAAAGAAATAATAAATGTTTGAGATGATAGATATGCTAATTACCCTGATCTGATCACCATCTACATGTACTGAAACATCCCCATATAGCCATGAATATGTATAATCTTTGTCAATTTAAAAAGTAAAAAAAAAAATTAATCTTGGAGAATGCATTTGAAGAATTTGTACTCAAGAAATCAACTTAAGAACCTGAGTCTCCTTGGAATTTGTGTTTTCTAGACCAGTACTTCTCCAAATTAAAGCAAATTTAGGCTGGGCATGGTGGCCCATGTCTATAATCTCAGCCTTTGGAAGGCCGAGGCAGACAGATCACTTGAGGTCAGGAGTTCGAGACCAGCTGACCCAACATTGTGAAACCCTGTCTCTACTAAAAATACAAAAATTAGCCGGGCATGATGGCATGTGCCTGTAATCCCAGCTACTTTGGAGGCCGAGGCAAGATAATCGCTTGAACTGGAGAGGTGGAAGTTGCAGTGAGCCGAGATTGCACCACTGCGCTCCAGCCTGGGCAACAGAGCAAGACTCTGTCTCAAAAAAAAAAAAAAAAAGCGAATTTAGTTCACTTTGGTATTGTGTCAAAATGTTGATTCTTTTAAAGTAAATCTAAAGAATTTAGATGTAGTTGAAGCTTGTCATCTGTTCTTAATTTTTTTAATAAAAATATAATATTTAGATTCAGAGTAAATCTAAAGTGAGACCTGAAGCTGCTCCCAGGTGATACTGATGCTGCTTATTTTTGCCCAGATTTTTAGTCACAAGGTTCTAAATTATCGTTTTGAAGTCCTACATGAGTAATCACTTGGGGAGCTCAATTAACACCCAGCAACAGACTAATTATTAATAAACCAGAATCTTCAGTATTAGGCTTCAATCATTGGCAATTTTTTTTTTTTGACACACAGTCTCCCACTGTCGCCCAGGCTGAAGTCCTGAGGCCAGAATGAGACTAGGACATGGTTCCTTTGCCTAAGTAAACTGAGGCAGAAAATGGAATACTTCAGACTTCAAATTAGTATGGTAAGTGCTATGAAGAGTATGATTAGAGTTCATTATTTACCCAGAAAAGGGTCACTCAGCCCAGCCTGGGAGTTAGAGAAGGTTTCCTGAATTCTTGACATGTGAGTCGTGAAAGGACATAAGGAGTTAACCACGTGACAAAATAAGCTAAGAGAATTCTCAACAAAAGACAAAATATTGGCAAAGGCTTTTAGGCATATACTAGCTTAGTATTATTGGGAGAATGTAATGATTTTCTGTATTTCAAAAGTGTAAAATACAAAGTGGGCCATGATATGAGATAAACCAGTAAATATGTTCTGGGAACAGATCATAGAAGGGCGTGTATGCTGTCCTAAGGAGCTTAAACTTCAACTTCAGTTCATGGGAGCCAATGACAAGATCTGAGCAGGGGAAGGATGTGGCTAGAGGGGCATCTTAGACAGACAAGATCCTCTGTGGATTACACCTAGGCTAAGCAACGGGTTAAAGTTGTTGTCTTAAGACAATAGTCCAGGTAAAAGATAATAAAGTTTTAAATTAGGATGTTAGTAGGAATGAGGAAGAGGGATGGATTTCAGAAATAGTAAGGAAATGTATTAGCAGGACTTGATTAGTGATTGACTTGGGGAAGGAGGGGAAGATAGAGTTCAGGATGACTCCGAGACTGTCTGGTGTCGGTGGCTAATAACTGAAGCTATTAATAGAGGTAGGAAATGCAGACCAAAAGCAGGCCCGGGGTGAGAGATGATAAATTTGAATTTTAACATGTTGAGTTTGGACATCCAGGATGAAATAATCACAAAACATTTAAATATACGAATCTGAAAAGGTAAGCATCATAAGCATATGAGCTATTGGTAAAATTCTGATACTTAATGAAGTCTCACAGGGAGGCAGTACAGAGGCAAGCAATGGGCTGGGGATAAAACATAGGGAAATATTATTTAAATAAAGATGAAAGAAAAGGAGCCCACAAAGGAAGCTGAAAAGGCATAGTCAAAAAAAGAGGCTTGCCAAATGCCACCTTTGAAGCTCTGCTGTTACACTTTATAAGGAAACTTTTGGTTACCTGGGATTGCATGCATTTATAAAAGTTTCTATTATTAGGAAGACAATAATAATGATAAGGCTCTTTCTCATTGTTGTCAGTGTAATTTATCTATTTAATTATAGAACCTAGTTCCAGGATGCTTAATCTGAAGTATATACTTGGGGCAAAATGAATTATATCTTAATAATAATCTGGAATTTTTATCTCTAACTTGACATATTTTAATTCTTGCTAGATTTTCAAAATGTCATACCTTGAACCACCGCCAGATGGCTATGAGAATGTTACAAATACTGTGTCACCATATAATGCTTTCTCAGCCCAAGGCATGCCAGAGGTAAAATAAAATACATTTGTAACCCAAGTCTTTAAATGGTTCTTTTGCTATATAAAACCTGTATAGAGGACTAAAACCAAGGAAATTAGGTGAATCATTCATGCGGATTCATTGTTTGATATTCAGTGCTATGAAAACCTCATCCCTCAAATTTAAAAAATTATAATAAAATAGAAAACAACACCAGACAGAGAAAAAAGAAACAAAACAAATACATTAAAAACTGACCCTGCTGAAGCAGATGACACTCTTCGAAATAACAAAGAAACTGCTGAACACACCTTTAATTCAGTGAGGCAGTAGGTGTTTTTTTCTTTGTTTGTTTTTGTTTCTTTTTTTTTTTGAGATGGAGTTTCGCTCTTGTCACCCAGGCTGGAGTGTAGTGGCACAATCTGGGCTCACTGCAACCTTCGCCTCCCAGGTCCAAGCAATTCTCTTGCCTCAGCCTCCTGAGTAGCTGGGATCACAGGTGCACACCACCACACCCTGCTAATTTTGTATTTTTTTTAGTGGAGGCGGGGTTTCTCTATGTTGGTCAGGCTAGTCTCGAACTCCCAACCTCAGGTGATCTGCTCACCTCGGCCTCCCAAAGTGCTGGGATTACAGGCATGAGCCACCACGTTAAAAAGGGAAACTTCCTATTTGCCCTCTGAAGGTTTGCAGAAAATGAATGGACAAAACATAAATTAATAGAAGAAAGAGGCAAAAAAAAATTCTGTAAAATGTAGGGGAAAAATCACAGGGTCTCACTCAGTTGCCCAGCATGAAGTGCAGTGGTGTGATCATGGCTCCTTGCAACCTTGAATTCTCAAGCACAAGTGATTCTCCCCTCTAAGCCTATGGAGTAGCTGGGATCACAGGGGCATGCCACCATGCCCACATACATAGGTATTTGCTGGAGAGGAGATGGAGACTCTCTGTCCTGGATGTGAGACAGGTGGCTGGCATCTGGGTAAGGATGACATTCCCTCATTGCTAAAGAGTAAAAGAGAAAAGTGTCATGGATAGTGCAAGCAGGGACATGCCCTGACCTAGTGAGGTCCAGAGGCTTATATTGTCCTTCATAGGGGAGTGGGAAGAAGCGAGTGTAGGCAACCCAGGGGAAATAAATGACCTAAAATAAAAGAAATAGATCATCAGAAGTGTAGATGTATTAGTCAGGGTTCTCTAGACTGACAGAATTAAAGGACTATATACATATATATATGAAGGGGAGTGAGATGGTTAATAATGAGTGTCAACTTGATAGGATTGAGGGATATGAAGTATTGATCCAGGGTGTGTCTGTGAGAGTGTTGCCAAAAGAGATTAACATTTGAGTCAGTGGGCTGGGGAAGGCAGACCCACCCTTAATCTGGTGGGCACAATCTAATCTGCTGCCAGCAAATATAAAGCAGGCAGAAAAATTTGAAAAGGAGAGACTGGCCTAGCTTCCCAGCCTACATCTTTCTCCCATGCTGGTTTCTTCCTGCCCTCAAACATTGGACCCCATGGCTCTCCTTTCTCATCAGTTTGCAGACAGCCCATTGTGTAACTTATGATCCTGTAAGTTAATAAACTCCCCTTTATAAATAAATATATATATGTGTGTGTGTGTGCATATATATGTATGTGTGTGCGTATGTATATATATATGTATATATCCTGTTAGTTCTGTCCCTCTAGATGTCACTGGCTAATACAGGAAGTTTATTAAGTATTAACTCACACAATCACCAAGTCTCACAATAGGCCATCTGCTGGATGAGGAGCAAAAAGAGCCAGCCAGAGTTCCAAAACTGAAGAACTTGGAGTCCATGTTCGAGGGCAAGAAGCATCCAGCATGGGAGAAAGATGTAGGCTGGGAGGTGAGGCCCGTCTCTTTTCACATTTTTCTGCCTGCTTATAGTATGGCTGGGTTGGCAGCTGATTGGATTGTGCCCACAAAGATTAAGGGTGGGTCTGCCTTTCCCAGCCCACTGACTCACATGTTAATTTTTTTTGGCAACACCCTCACAGACACACCCAGGATGAATACTTTACATCCTTCAATCCAATCAAGTTGACACTCGTTATTAACCATCACAAGCCCACCCCTTGTGAACTTGAACCCACACACATCTCCTGAGATCATACATAATCTTAAAATACAGACAATAGTAAGGTCATAATTACCCCTAACATAATAAACTATCCTTCCTACAACTGGAAATGCACCCATCCCCAACCCAAATACTCTTACATAAAGTAAACAATACTTAAATGCTGATATGAGGTCAGCAAATCTATGTCACCTGATAAAGAAAAGGGAAATGAAATGAAGATATTTTCTTAGTACAAGTGCATACATGCACAAACATGTTTCTAACAAAAGAAGGAAATACTCATGATAGTTCCAGTCCTCATTTCTGCAGCTGGTCAGGTGGTTGTAGCTGGTATTGATAACTACTTTCTTCCACTATTCATTCTGTATTCCCTTTGCCTTCAGCAAGCACCTCAGAAGGTCGTGACCCGGAGAGGATCTGGACCGTTTGTAGTCCTACCTGGATTGGGTATAGTTTCCCATTTACCTTAATCAGAGTGCATGATAATACCAAGAGACGCCCTAATGGATCTCCTATATTCCATGCATACTCTTCCTCACTTCCATTGTGGAGTAGCGGACTGACTTCATCTTGATAGTCTGGGTCAATCACTGCCACCAACACTGTAACTCCATTCTTAGCTTGTTGACTTAAAGGTAGGAGGACCCCAAAGCATCCAAGTGGCCATCTTAACTTCCAGTTTAATGGAATCGTTATTGTGTCTCCTGGTAGCAGCGTTCTTCCCTCTGGAGTTAAGATGACTAGTAAAGCAGAACCTAATGTCGTGGGAACAGAAAGCAAACATTTTGCTAGTGCATCATAGTGAGTGGTTCCACTTTCACATCCACCCCTTGAATCCTGGATCTGTGAATCCTGGCTATGGGAGAAACAATACCATACATTGGGCGCTGATTCAGAGCACACATGGTCTTCTGGAGTATGGTGCCCCGGCCCGGCAAAGTATTGCAACCTAGTTGATGTTGTAATCGCGACCTCAAAAGGCCGTCCCACCATTCTATCAATCCAGCTGCTTCAGGAAGATGGGGAATATGGTAAGACCAGTGAATTCCGTGAGCATGAGCCCACTGCCTCACTTCTTTACCTGTAAAGTGAGTGCTTGGTCAAAGGTAATGCTGTGTGGAATACCGTGATAGTGGATAAGGCATTCCTTGAGTCCATAAATGGTAGTCTTGGCAGAAGCATTGCATGCAGGTAGGCAAACCCATATCCTGAGTAAGTGCCTGTTCCAATGAGGACAAACCTCTCTCCTTTCCATGGTGGAAGAGTTCCAATATGATCAACCTGCTACCGGGTAGCTGGTCGATCACCCCAGGAAATGATGCCATACAAAGGGTTCACTGTTAGTCTCTGCTGCTGCTGCTGGCAAATTGGGCACTCAGCAGTGGCCACAGACAGTTCAGCCTTGGTGAGTGGAAGTCCACATTGCTGAATCCATGCATAACCTCCATCCCTGCCACCATGGCCACTATGTTCATGGGCTTATTGGACAATGACAGGGGTGTCTGAGGAAAGAGGCTGAGTGGTATCCACAGAACGGGTCATCTTATCCACTTGATTATCAAAATCCTCCTCTGCTGAAGTCACTTGTTGGTCAACACTCACACAGGGTACAAATATCTTCAGTTTTTGACCACTCAGAGAGGTCCATCTACATACTCTTTCTCCAAGTTTCTTTGTCACCAATTTTCCAATCATGCTTCTTCCAAGTCCCTGACCATCCAGCCAAACCATTGGCTACAGCCCATGAATCAGTATATAACCGCACATCTGGAAATTTCTCCTTCCATGCAAAGTGCACAATCAGGTGCACTGCTCAATGTTCTGCCCACTGGGAAGATTGTCCTTCACCACTGTCCTTCAGGGATGTCCTAGAAAGGGGCTGTAGTGCTTCAGCTGTCCACTTTTGGGCAGTACCTGCCTATTGTGGAGAACCATCTGTGAACCAGGCCCTAGTCCTCCCTTCCTGTGTCAACTGCTCAAAGGCAAGTCCCCATGAGGTCATCAGTGCAGGCCATGGGAGAGAAGGCAGGGTGGCAAGAGTAGAGACCGTGGGCATTTGAGCCACTTCCTCATGTAACTTACTTGTGCCCCCCAGGACCTGCTTGAGCCCAATCACTTATACACCATTTCCATTTGATGATGGAATGCTGCTGTGCATGACCCACTTTATGGCTACATGAGTCAGAAAGCACCCAGTTCACGATAGGCAGTTCAGGTCGCATGGTGACTTGTTGACTCATAGTCAAATGTTCAGTTTCCACAAAAGCCCAGTATAGGACAAGAGCTGTCTCTCAAAAGGAGAGTAGTTAACTGGAGAAGATGACCGGTCCTTGCTGCAAAATACTAGAGGCCTCCACCATGATTCACCTATGGAGGCTTGCCAAAGCCTCAAAGCAGCATTCCTATCTGCCATGGACACCTCAGGGGGACCCAGCCTCCCCTTCATTCAAGGGGTTCTGGGTCTGTAAACTGGCTCAAGGCTGGAAATTGATTGAGGGGCCATGAATCTCTGTTTTTATGATTCCAGTTAGTCTTTTATCTGTTTGACCTTAAGTTTCCTCCTTACATAAATTAAGTAGGAATGCATTAGTCTTCCTGTCAGTTTCACTTCCAGGAACACTGTGATTAGTTAGCCAATGCCAGAGCTCTACGTGAGTCAGACTGTTCAGATTGCTGCTTTGTCTTTTCTGCCCATTACGGTAGCTACGCCCACCGTGCCTTTGAGGGTTGAGTGCTACCACTTGGCCCCTGCCACTTCAGGATCCAATTATTCCAAATTGTATTTAACTTTTGTAACTGAGTGACTGCAGTTCTCACCATTAGATCTGACATACAGAGAAGAGCCTTTACAGGGCTCTTCAAAGATGCAGGTGCTGTCCTCACAAATCTATTTTGCAAGGTGTTTGTCAAGGGTATTAGGTACAGAGTCACTAAACTCCTTGCCTCTCATGAGCGATGATTCATTAGTGTCAAATGAATTTGTTTTGCATAGCTCTTTAAACCTTTCATGCCAAGAACTGTCAATATTCTCTACACTATTAAAAGTAGAGTCCTTAGCATTTTGGGATCTAATCATATTTAGCAGCCAAATCCAGAAACCCCAAAACCAACAAAAGAACTCCAGCCTTAATATTCTGATCCTGCAGAACCATTCCTGGTACCAAAATCTGTATTAATGAGGGTTCTCTAGAGGGACAGAACTAATAAGTTCAATATATATATATATATATGGGTTTATTACATATTAACTTACAGGATCACAAGGTCCCACAGTAGGCTGTCTGCAGGCATGAGGAGTGAGGAGTAAGGAGAGCTAGCTCGAGCCTCAAAACTAAAGAACTTGGAGTCCGATGTTCAAGGGTAGGAAGCATCCAGCACGGGAGAGAGATGTAGGCTGGGAGGCTGGGCCAGACTCAATTTTTCACTTTTTTCTGCCTGCTTTATATTCACTGGCAGCTGATTAAATGGTGCCCATAGATTAAGTAGGGGGTCTGCCTTCCCCAGACTACTGACTCAAATATTAATCTCCTTTGGCAACACCCTCACAGACACACCCAGGAGCAATGCTTACATCCTTCAATGTAATCAAGTTGACAATCAGTATTAACTATCACAGGATTACAGACCTGAGCCATCACACACAGTGTTATTGTATATTTCATACAATATAAAATATTCCTGATTTTCCCATTTTATCTGTGACTTAATAAAGTTTTTCAGCTATGACCCCAAACTGGTAATACTTGAAAGCACATTCAAATGTATTTTGCAACAATTCATAACTGGCAAAATGTTGAGCCTTGTGGAAAGAGTCACCTTACTTCCCCGTCAGCTGTCAATTCCCCATCATTACTATCACTTCCGGGAGCACATTTTCCAAAACTCCTTTTCTCTCTATGGTTTCTTTAGAGTTGCTCCATGAGGTTACAATAAGTTACAACTAATTACTGTCATGAGATTGGGAAGTCAGAGTGGTGGATTCATGTACACTGACACCTGAAGTAAAACACATGCAGTTAGGTGTGGACTGGAGAATCACCTGGAGATGTGCTGCAGGCAGCTGAGAGCATCAGCACCCCCAGCCCTGGGCTTCCCAGACAGGACTGAGGATCATCACACGGTGTTCAGCACATACCACCAGGGGCAGGTGCATCCTGGCTTCTGAAGTAGCACCTGAGAATCCCCTGTGTCTAGTACCTGCTTCATGAATAACACTCCATAGGCTTCGGAAAGACTGTGGTTTAGACTCTAATTTATTCAACTTGAATAATTTCTCCTTGAAATACTGAGAATAGCTTCTCTTTTGCTGTACAAATTCCGATTATCCCATAACACAGACTCCTCAGCTGGACTTATCTCTCTTCTTTATTCAGTCAGGACAGGCATTGTCACGTCTTTTCTGCTGGGGATGAGGGCGAAAGAGGCTTAGGGTTCAGAGGAACCTCCCTGGCCTCCTCTAGGAAAATCTCCCGATGACTTTCCAAACCTGACTGAGTTTGAGAACTTCCCTCAGCAGATAGAGGCACCAGAAGGAGCATTGGGGCAGCCCAGCCTCACACATCTGCTTCCTTGGGGTTTATGTTATGACTTGTAACACTGTGGGAGGGTTACTGTCACTCTGTTGACAGTAATAGGTTGCAAAATCTTCAGGCTGCAGGCTGCTGATGGTGAGAGTGTAATCTGTCCCAGATCCACTGTCACTGAACCGAGAGGGAATCCCACTTTGCAGACTGGATGCAGCATAGATCAGGAGCTTAGGAGTTTTCCTTGGTTTCTGCTGATACCAATTTAAATTATTGCTAATGCCCTGACTCACCCGGCAAGTGATGGTGACTCTGCCTCCTACAGATGCAGACAGGGAGGATGGAGACTGGGTCATCTGGATGTCACATCTGACACCTGAAGTTAGAAACATAAAAACAAATATTCTTGCAATTAATCATGTTATCAGATGACTTCCCTGAAGTTCCAGACAGTACTGAGCACACTGACCGAGTATAATCCTAGTGTTCTCCTTCCTTACCTGGCAGCCAGAGCCCCAGGAGCCCCAGGAGCCCCAGGAGCTGAGTGGGGGCCCTCACGTCCGTGCTGTGTCCTGACTGGGGCTGACTCCTGCACCGGGTGTGGCCAGCCTATAAGAAGTCTTCAGGGCAGGGGGCTGTGCTCTAGGAACAGGCAAATCAGCAGGGGATGGGGCAGGCTGAGCACAGCTGCAGGGCTGGCTCATCTCAGTAACTCAGCACACGGGCGCAGTATCCCCAGAGTCCCAGGTCAGACCAGGGCAGCACAGATTTACCTTGAAAGAGTACACTTCTCATTGGTGGCCATATGGTTACAGAACATATTTTTGGAGTGAATTTTCAAAATTTTAAATCAACCTAAGACTAGATTAAATAATATATTTATACTTGTATTAAGAGTGTATAGGAAAGCATCATTTTTGGCAGAAAATTTACAATAAAGTTATAGAGTGTGGGGCTGTCAGAAATTTCAGTTAGTCTCAAAGGAATTTGATGAGTGTAAAAGTATTTAGTGCTATAATAACAATGTCTCTGTCAGTGTGAAATTGCTTCTTTTTTGAAATGAATATAAAAAGAATTTATCAGAAGCATCTTTAATAAATTCAATAGAATTTACTAACAAACTTAAGACATTGTTCCTAGGAGTAAAAGGAAAAACAATTCTCTGAAGATGCACAAAGATGATAATGTGTCACGCATAGATCTGCCATTATCCAGAGCTATGGGTCTCTTTAAGATCTAGGGGCTAAATGGGCTGCACCTTATTCTTGGCGTGATGATCCCCATATTCTATCCCCTTTCCTGCCTTTGGTATAATTTCTTATGTTTCTCCAGCATGGAGAGCTGACTAGTAATACCAGGTCTCATTATTTCAAAATCTCTGTTTCACTCGCGGACTATAGGAGCCAGGATTAAAATCAACTTGAAGCCCTCTATCAATCTAGGCTCAAATAATCAATTGTTTCAAAGTAGGATGACAAAGGCCACATCCCCTGAGTAATGCTCTGAGCTGCGCTCCCCACCAGCCTGTTCCTGGGGTCTCAGGAGCATCTGCCCTAGAGTCTGGCTTTCTGGAGAGCAGGTGAGGGGGGAAAAGCCAGGTCAGTGAACCTCTCTGCTTAGCGAGGACAGCTGCTGCCCAATGCATGTTCTTGCCATGCACCAGGGCATCATCCTGACCCAGATGCCAGCCACCCTGTCTCACATCCATTTAGAGAGAATCTCCATCTTCTGCCAAGACACTGCCCATGTAGATGAAAAAGTATTTTGCCTCCAAACATATCTTAAGCACTGATTTGAACCTCAATACTTCACACAGATGCCTTTGCCCAGGGCGTGTCGGCCTGGCTCAACAGCAGGGGAAGTGGAGCCAATTACATCAGTGTCAGTGGACTGAGAAATACTCCAGGGAGTAGTTCTCATGCACGACTACCAGTGGCCAGACCAAGGTAGTGCAGCCTGTGCACAAACCTCCTGCTGCTTTTCCAGAGAACTGGATTTCTGGGAAATGGCTACTGAACAGGCTGCCAGGATCCATATATCCAGATTCAGAGAGATACATCTCTGGATTCAAATGCGCTTTTTCTTTGTGCATAATTTTAGCAGTCATTGTTACTACGCCTTGGGGATTCTAGTCATTATACTTCAGCTGACTCTCTATGGCCCTTTCTCCCCTTCACTGCTCTGTCTGAACCTGGGGAAGCAGCTCAGGCTGCAAATGAGGCAGACCTCATGGCCTGGAATTAGCATCCCCTAGGACGGCTGTCAATCAGTGATGACAAGGGAGGTGTACACATCCCGCAGCTCCCTCACCTCTCAGGTGGAATAACAGAGGCATTTTTCCTGTGTTTCTATGTGGGCTTGAGCTGTCGTCATCCTCAGAGGTGGCTCCTTCTGAGGCACCTTTCACTTTCCCTTTCCCTCCTCCCCTCCCTTGCTCATTTGCTTGTTTCCCGCACTTTGTAAATATACTGCCTGCATGCGAATCTTTGGCATCCTTCTCACTGAGGGGACCCAACCTAATGCATTGGAAAAATCCTCATTCTTGGAGGGCATCGTTGGTTTGAATTATTGCCACTTCTCATGCTTTAATGCATAGGGAAATTCCAAAAATTTAGGAAATCTTTAAATTCCCTTTGCCAATCTTTCTTAGATTTGATTTTAGCAGAGATTCATTTTCTCTAGGTCACAAAATCACAGAAGCCTTCCACAAATGGCTACACAACATAGAGTCCACATAGAGCAGAGACTCAGAATCTCCCAGGATTTGACATCCACACATCAGACAGTCCTAGATTCTCAGGTTTTTTCTAGGTCGATCGCCTCGTAAATCTGCCTTGTGATATTTTTATTCTACCTTAGGGGAAGACCATTGTGTGGATGATGAGGGTTGTTTGTGGAATGAATAATACACCCACTAAAGACATCATTGTCCTAATATCTGGAATCTATGATCATTACTTATGAATATGTCAAAAATAACTTGGCAGACATGGTTGAGAATTTGGGGGTCAGGAGAGTATCCTGAATGATCTGGGTGAGACCATCATAATCACAAGGGTCCTTATAATAGGGAGGGAGGAAGGTAACAGCCAGAGAGGACCTGGGACAACGGACAGGGAAACTGGAGTGATGGAGGAAGGGGCCATGCTGCTAGGAATGTGGGAACATCAGAAAGATGGAATGCTCGATATTGGATTCTCTCTCTTGAAGCCTAGAATGAATAGAGCCCTATTACTCCTTGATTTTACTTCATTGAGACTTCTGACCTCCAGAAATGTAAGATAATACACTTGTGTTATGGGGAGCAGTAAGGTTGTGGTAATTTGTTACGGCAGCAACAGGAAACCAATGCAAGGGGAAGGGGTGTGTTTTACTTCCCTAGTGTATCACTGTCCTCTGTTCTCCCAAATAGTTCTGTGTTTTTGTGTTTGCTGTCAATTTCAACAAGAGACAGAAAACATTTTTCTATGAGGAGAGCTAGCACCACAATTCTTCTTACGTAGAAAGTGTCTTGAGTAATTCTCTGGGTTAGGTCTTGTACAATCTTGGTATCTGAGAGCCTGGAGGTCATCCCTCACAGCACATGAGAAGAGGAAGGGGATGTGGGTTTGCTGTTTTAACATTTGTAGGGCAAATTAGATGTACAAGACCCATTATTATTATTATTATTATTATTATTGTTCTTTAAGTTCTAGGGTACATGTGCACAACGTGCAGGTTTGTTACATATGTATACATGAGCCATGTTGGTGTGCTGCACCCATTAACTCATCATTTACATTAGGTGTACCTCCTAATCCTATCCCTCCCCCCCCTCCCCCCACCCCACGACAGGCCCTGGTGTGTGATGTTCCCCTTCCTGTGTCCATGTGTTCTCATTGTTCAATTCCCACCTGTGAGTGAGAACATGCAGTGATTGGTTTCTTTGTCCTTGCGATAGTTTGCTGAGAATGATGGTTTCCAGCTTCATCCATGTCCCTACAAAGGACATGAACTCATCCTTTTTTATGGCTGCAAGCGAAGACTGAGTCAGAGAGATGGGGATGGCAGAGGAGACAAAATGTGGTCAGGGCCGTGTAAGATGTGACCCTGCTGCCATATCTGAAAGAAAGGCTGTTGGTGTTTGTAAAGGCTTTGGGCAAATTGTGCTTTGTAGACAAAACTGTAGAAGGGTCTGGGTTTAAGCTTAGTGTCAGCGTGATGAGGAGTAGAGGTCGCAGTGAGCTTGTGTTAAGAAATCCACCCTGCACTTCTGGCTTTGTCTCTTTTCTGGTTTTATAGGTGGTGGGTTCCTCTATGGAATGAACGTGGCTCTGTGGAAGGAACATAGTTAAGGTCAGATAGACCTAGATTCCAAGTTCAGCTTCAACAACTGCTGACCAAGTGACTTTTATGCAAATCAGCCATGTGCTGTCATGAACAGTTTCCTCATGTGTGAAATGGGGCACTGAGGATGTGAAGGGGTGTCCTGAGGGTTCTGCCAGCTGATGCACCATGAAGTGTACATACATGTATAGACAGACACACACACATACATGAGAAGAGTATCTAGTGCCCCTTTTATGCATTCTTGAGTAACTCAGAATGTTATGTGAGATATTAACAGTCATATGTCATTTTCAACTAAAATTATCAATATTTATCTTATAACTAACAGATGCTTCTCTGTACACTGTAGGTTTCATGTACATTTCTTCATTCACAAAATTTTTCACCAATCTATTTACGTCTAGTATCAGAAAGTTAAGCAAGGAGATTGCAAACCAACACAACACCTTTAGTCTGGATTTTCCCGGAGCCCCATTTGTGTTAGTGTCCTCGGGCTACTGTAACAAGTTCTCAAAAATGTGGTAGCTTCAAACAACAGGAATGGAATCTCTCATAGTTCAGAAGTCCAGATCAGTTTCACTGGGCTAAGATCTTGGAGTCATCAGTTCTGGCTCCTTCTGAAGCTCTAGGGAGCAGTCTGATTTAGCTCTTCCAGCTTCTGGTGGCTTCTCTCTCCCGGGATGTGGACACATCACTGCAATCTCTGTCTCTGTGTTCACACTGCCTTCTCCACTTCAGTCTATGCTAAATGTCTCTCTACCTCTTGTTTTTATTAGGACACTTGAGTTTGCATTTAAGTCCCAGTTGATTAATCTAAGACCATCTCCCTGTTTCAAGCTCCTTAATTTACACCTGCAAAAGCTGTTTTCCCAAATGAGATACATGCATAGTCTTCTTGGAATGAAACCTCACTATTTGGGGATGATACTCATTACTACACCATTACATAACCAGGTCTCAGTGTTAGTCCTGTACATACATCACAATCTCTCTCTCTCTCTCTCTCTCTCTCTCTCTCCACACACCCTGGCTTCCTCCTTTTCTCAATGTCATAAATCTCTTCAATTCCTTAAGTGTATCCTGTGATACCTATAAACAAATAAGTATCTGAGAAAAGTCTCAATCAGTTTAGAAATTTATTTGGTCAAAGTTAAAGAAATATCAGTGAAACAGCCTCAGGAGGTCTTGAGAACGTGTGTCAAAGGTCGTCGGGCTACAGGTTGGTTTTACACGTTTTAAGGAGACATAAGATATCAATCAATACGTGTAAGCTGTACATTGCTTTGATATTGAAAGGCAGGACAGCCCGAAGGAGGGGGGATATTGGGGACTTCCAGGTCATAGGTGGATTCAAAGATTTCATAGGTGGTTGAAAGAGTTTATCTAATGACCTGTAATCAACACAAGGGAGTTTCTGGGTTTAGAAAAAGGGTTTTGGAGCCAAGGTTGCATCATGCAGATGAAGCCTCCAGGTAGCAGGCTTCAGAGAGAATAGATTGTAATTGTTTCTTAGTAGACTTAAAAGGTGCCAAACTCTTAGTTAAATCTCTCTGGGTCAGGAAAGAGACTTAAAAAGGAATCTCTACAGAATTTAGATTTCTCCCACAAAAACCAGCTTTGCAGAGGCATTTTTAAATACATTAAATAACAATATCTTGGGGAAAATACTTTGATTTCTCTTAGGACGTGGTATCTGTCACATTGGTATCTTATTGCTATAAAGAGTTTTCTTTGTCAGTCTCAAGGTCTCTGTCTTCATATTAAAAGCTGGTCAGTTCTGCCTGAATTTTAAAGGGAAGAGGGTAAGTTAAGGCATGTCCAATCATCCGTTCCGATCATGGACTGTATTGTATTTCAGGTTGATTTTGGTGTGTCCTTGGCTGAGAGGAGGAGTTCATTCAGTTGGTTAGGGAGCTTAGAGTTTCATTTTTGGTTTACACACCTATGTCCAGGTAAGAGGGCCCCACACAGGAGGGCTTGCTCAGAACCTGGCTTGCAGGGCTGCTTACAGACCTTCTATGTCTCCTGTTGTCATGCACAAGGAAGGACACAGCCAATGACAAAACTCAGCCATCCGGGGAGAAGCTGTGTCTGCAGAGGACGGTCATGAGCTGTGAGTCTAGAGACCTGTGATTGTCTTCAGGGGCCTGTGGTCCTCGGCTTTCATAGGAGTTGTGGGGGCATGGCTCAAATAGCATCCACCAGGATTCCAATCAGAATATCTCATTCACAGAAGGCAGTGGGTGATATGACAGCACAGAGGGACTCCGTGGGTCCAGCTGCATGGAGCACTCTGGGAGAGTCACTGGCACCCGTGCTAGACAGAGCTTCATTCAACTTCTGGAGCACACGGATTTAGATCTCTTTACATCATTTTGAAAGACCATTTATCATTCTGAAGGAAACCACTGTAATTAACTAAGGTAACATCTTTAATAGGTAGAAAGAAAAAAGTGACTATTTTATTGCCAAGATGATGACAAGAAAAGAAACAAAAATAGCATGAAGGAAAGAGCAACACTAGACTGAGGGCTTTGGGTAAGAGGTTGAGACTTAGTAGTGAATGCCCTGGGCCATCTTCTGTCAAAAGGGAGGGACAATCAGCAAAGGGAAATATGCAGTAGAGGCAAAATCTTGGTTAGTAAAAGAATCCTAAGAGAAAACAAGAAGTCTCCTTCCTGAGCATCATGTTGGTGTCAGGAAGATGCACATAATCCCCCCATTGCATGTCTTACACTTTTCAGCAATTAGGGCTCAGCATGAATTTAGAAGACACCATTCACTTCACAGCAGATGGGGACACAGTCAAGGCAGTGGTGAGAGGCAAGGCTGGGCTTTCAGTCTCAGAGCACAGAGCAGGTTCCCCACTACTCCGCACCCTGGTGTCTCCTCCCAGATGTTCCAGATGGTCCACCTCATTCTTGCCTTAAGGGCTCCAAGTTGTTAATGGGACAGTAGCCCTCTTCCTTTCCCAGGGTTTCTAAGAATTTGGCTCTCTTTTGTGTATTGCGGGGTTTGTTTGCCATCTAGAGGCAGGTTTTTGGCATAGCAACTTATAGGCTTTTTCTACTTGTGATAGCGAAAATAAATACATAAATAAATTCATCATAAATAATAAATGGACTTAATGCATTCAATCTGTAAAAAAATATAAGGTCAGTTTGAGAGCTTAAAAGGAGCCTGATGAGGTTAAAAAGACAAATTACCTTTAGTAAAGAGCAGTTGGAGCAATAGATGATTCTTTAATCAATGACATTTTAGGAGTAACTATCAAATGGTAAATAAAACTTGAAATAAGATGATAAACTATAATTTTATATGCAAAAAAAATATTTCCAAGAACCATACAAATACATTTTCAGATTAAAACAAAAAATGTGGGTTTATCATCATATCCGCTAAATGGAAGATTTCTCAAATGTGTGCTTGGAGCAAAAATAACACTTATCCCTATTTGAAAGTTCAAGATTTTTGAGCTTTTGAAGAAAACAGCTTTCCCTTCACTCTGTTCCACTCACGCTTCTGAGGATGGCCATGGGGCAAAAAGCCACGGGGGCGGGGGGCAAAAAGCCGCCGCGGGCAAATAACCGCGGCACGGGGCGGGGGGGCGTGGGGCGCAAAAAGCCGCCATAGCGGGGGAGCAAAAAGACGCGGCGGCGGGGGGCAAAAAGCCGCGGCGACAAAAAGCCACGGCGGCGGGGGTGAAAAAGCCGCGGCAGCGAGGGGCAAAAAGCCGTGGCAGCGAGGGGCAAAAAGCCGGGTCGGGCAAAAAGCCAGGTCGGGCAAAAAGCCGCGGCGGCGGGGGGCAAAAAGCCGTGGCAGCGAGGGGCAAAAAGCCGTGGCAGCGAGGGGCAAAAAGCCGGGTCGGGCAAAAAGCCAGGTCGGGCAGAAAGCCGTGGCGGCGGCGGGGGGGGCAAAAAGCCGCGGTGACAAAAAGCCACGGCGGCGGGGGTGAAAAAGCCACGGCGGCGGGGGTGAAAAAGCCGCGGCAGCGGGGGTGAAAAAGCCACGGCGGCGGGGGTGAAAAAGCCGCGGCAGCGGGGGTGAAAAAGCCACGGCGGCGGGGGTGAAAAAGCCGCGGCAGCGGGGGTGGGCAAAAAGCCAGGTCGGGCAAAAAGCCGCGGCGGCGGCGGGGGGGGGTGGGGGGCAAAAAGCCGGGTCGGGCAAAAAGCCGCGGCGGCAGGGAACTAAAAGCCGTGGCGGGCATAAACCCGAGGCGGCGGGTGGGGGCAAAAAACCGCGGTGGGGAAAAAGCCGCGGCGGCGGGGGAAAAGCCGAGGTGGTGCTTGGGGCAAAAAGCCGCGGCGGCGAAGGGCAAAAGAGCCGCTGTGATGAGGGTCAAAAAGCCGCGGCGACGCGGGGCAAAATAGTGGAGATGGGGTAGAAGGCCGGCACAGCTTGGCTTTGCTGGAGTGTGATGTGATAGGAAATGTGCAGCCAAAGACAAAAAAAGATGTAAGTAGGCTTGACTCATTGCAGCCAAGAACCCGGATGTTATCTTGAGGGTTTTAACTAATAAGCAGTTTAAATCAGAATGGCACATTCTGATTTGTTTTTTGTATATTCACATTTGGCAGGCATAGATACCGTTTGAAGAGAAAAATGTCAGTAGATAGAGGTAACAAACTTAAATATGTGCCGAGTCTAGAAACAAGAGACTAGGGGGATAAGGACCTTTTGAAATAAAATGCGAGATTTGAAAACTGATTGGGGGATGAGGAAAAGGCAGGTCTTTAAGGTCAATCCCTGTTTTGCTTTAAGTTGTTAGGGGGTGGTTTTATCACATATTGTAGAATACGTCATTTCAGTTTTGAACATCTTGAGTTAAATCGTCCTAACATAGCTTATGAATTTGATTTTCTTCCCTGGGAAGCTAATATTTCAAACACTGAAAGAGTATATAGATTTCCAACTTGTATCCAATTTATAAAACTATCTCTAGGCTGCTGATTTCAGGAGGAGGCTCATGAATATTCTATTTGCAGAGAATATATCAGGAGTTAACATCAGCGTCAATATTTGTGGACGACCAGTTAACTAAGCCACCTCTTAGTGTATTTAGATGGGAAATCTTAGCTGAAGATATTCAATAATGAACCAACAGTGACTAAAAAATGCAATATTTAAGTATATTTCATTGTAATTAATTTGAATTGAAGTAGCCCTATACAGCTAGTATTTACTACATTGAACAATGCAAATAAGAGGAAAAAATTAATAACCATCTCTAATACCACATGCCAAAATCCTCATCAATTTATTCTAGCTGAAGGAGTTGATCAGAAGCAGCAGTTGAAAGCATCAATTAAACCAGCTGGGGTTAGTTCACTGTCATTCTCTCAGAACCATCTCTTCTCTGAACAAAACAAGTACAAGAGTTCATTGTAAATCTGCATTTTCCTTGCCTATTTTAAGGTTTTGATGTTGACACTAATTTGTGAAATCCCTCCTGTGGTGTGATATTTCGTTTTCCTTGCTTTTTGTTAGGACAAGAATGCTTCAGCTCTTAATTTAAAATTATGTTTCTCCCTCCTAGGTTGAGTGAACTTAGAATGCATTCTCTGACATATCCAAGTTTTTGTTAATATAAATTTGGGGAACAAAGCATACTTAATTAGCTAAGACTTCTTATTCTAGGCTTGACCCTGTGTTCGACATCTATTGAATTTGTAGTTGCATGGGCTGCTCTCTGACACTGGTTACTGACCTGGAAGCTATATTAACGTTAGGGGAGGTGGTGTATGAGCATTAGAGGTATCCTTGCAAGGAAAGACTTGTCTTAACTCAATACGTCTTTTTTTTGCACACAAGAAAGTCAGTGTTTGAGTCTTCTAAAATCTTCCTATTTCCAAGTTGCAGAGTACCATTGATTCCTAAACAAAGACCTAATTTTTGACTCAGAGACGTGGCAAGGTAGTGAATCACCATTATAATTTAACAATCTTCAAGATAAAATTATCTCTCTGATATTTAGATTTTGCCCAATTATTAAGATATTTGGGTGTTTCGTTAAGAATGGAAGACTCTAGTCTCTTGAGCAGAGACTATAAAGGCCTCAGATGATCATTTTTACTTTTATGCTCTTTTCTTTAACACCTTCAACACAGTTGGAAGCAGCCGATATTCCCCAGAGTTGTTGTGTTTTTTAAACCAAATGCATGGTTCAGTGGTAGAAAACTGGGCTGATCCAAGCTGTTTTCAGGAAACACTTCATTTCAGGTGACCTATTTCATATTAAATAATCTCTAGATCCTGTCTTCAGAACTAGATCAGATAACCTACCCTGGATTTTCTCCTTTTAGGGTCTGTGAGCTGCAGTCACTTTTGTGAAAATGATTGCAATGAAAAGATAGAGTTGTAGATGGGGAAAATGTTTTGACTAATTTAAGCATAGTGGTATTTCATATGAGAATTTAAGTTACACACATTTGAAAATTATAATGGAGTCTCTTGGCTGAGCTTTAAAAAAAAATAGCGTTTAGGCTAAACGGGGAACTGCTACCTCTCCTAAAATCAGAAAGATGTTACAGTAATTCTCCATTCTCTAGAATTATCAGGAAGCACCTTTGTGATGATTTACTTTTGTTCTTGGGAGTGTGAGCCCGTGTAGTCTTGGAACCATCAATTAGAATGATGGCTTTCTGATCCCAAAGTCATTCGTTCTGAAAACAATATTTTTCATAAATTTGAAAGTGAGAAGTTTTGATCTTGCCATTCCCAAGTAACTCTCTTAATAAGAGGCATCAGCATGCTTCAGTGTCACTTTCCAGTGCTGAGAGTCATCTTTGAGTTCTCCATTTGACTCCCTACACTCCAATTTAGCTGCAGTTCTCTTGGCTAGTCCTATGAAATACATCCATGGCCTAATGACTTCTCACCACTACTACCACTCATCCTGACAGCATTCTCACCTAAGTCACTACCTTTTTTCTCTGGATTAGAGTAGCCTCCCAATTTATTTGCTCACAAAACCTATTTATTCTACACGGTGCACAAGATACACCCCTTTGAAATGCAAACACAATCATGTTATTCTCTGGTTAAGTTATCTCATATATTCCTATCGCATTTAAAATTAATTCAGAATAATCCCCTGATTATCAAAACCCTACATGCTCTTCCACAATATTGTTTACTTCCAAGATATCTCTTCAACTTTTTTTTCACTGTACTGAATTGGTGACTAATAATCATATTTTTGTTTTTGCACAAAAAGTCTTGACTTGTAAATTTTTCAGTTTCTCCTTTATCCACAGGTAACTCTTTCCTCATAAGGCGAATTGCTTGTTTCCTTGAGTTCTGCTCTCAAAGATACCCTTCATTTTCTACCTAATATTAATAACTTCAATCATTATTCCATTACTATGCTCTATAGTGTATACAATTTCTGTTCTTTGTCATGTTATTAACTAAATTATTTATTTGTTCCAGTAACGTATTCCATAAATATTGTACACATAAAAATTATGTTATTTTTATTGCTGTATGCTCAGCTGCCCAATAACAGTCTGAGGATTAACATATTTGTTAAATGCACAAATACGTTCTTTCACAAATATTAGTTTAATAATTTTATATTAAACTCCCTCTATACTTACAGTATGAATTAGATAATTGAGAATAAACATTCCAGTGGAAAAAACTAAACAATTTGTTGTAAAACATCCTTAAAAGCATCAGAAAGTTAATACAGCAATGAAGAATTACAGGACCAAATTAAGAATGGTATGGAAGCCTGTTTGTGAGGCTTATGTTTGGGTTATCTCTTTACTTAGAGAGACTATAAATCTCAAAAGAGGATTAAATGGAGAAATAACCATATCAACTCACATGGTAAGGGTATTCAAACATCTCTTAGTAATGGAGAAAATTGAAAGAAAAGGAAAAAGAGAAAGGGAGAAAGAGAAACAGAGCGAAAGGGATAATGAAGGAGAGAAAGAAGAAGAGAAAGGAAGAGGAAGAAAAGTAAAAAGGAGGAGGAAGAGGGAGGAAGGTGAAAAGAAAGAATGCTAAAGTTTTCAACAACATAATTTATCCTTCTAGAATATGAACGTTGGTCTATTTGATGATGTCCCACAGATTCCTTAGTCTCTGCTCATTTTTTATCTGTTTCTCAGAGTCAATATTTTCCATTTTCTTATCTTCAAGCTCATGACTTCCTCTGTGTGTGCAAATATACTCTTAAATCCCTCTGGTGATTTTTAAATTTTTATCATTGTAGTTTTCCACTCCAGAATTTCTGCTATCTCTGTTGATATTCCTACTTTTTAATATTTTTTCTGAATCCTTTATTTCTTTGTTTATGCTTTCCTTGTGACATTTGAGTATAATTAAGAGAGTTGTTTTAAAGTCTTTGTCTGGTAAGTTTGAAGTCTGGGTTTCCTTAGAGATATTTTCTGTCAGTTTGTTTTGTTCCTTTGAATGAGCCATACTTTCCCGTTCTTTGTATGCCTTGTAACTTTTTTTGAAAACTGGGCATTATAATAATTATAATTACTATGTGGTTACTCTGTAAATCAGACCCTCCCCTACAAACACAGTAATGTTTTGGGGTTTTAAATTTTCTTTACTTATTATATTGTTAAGGATTTTTTTTTTAGTGAAATTTTCCAAAGTGATTTACAAAACTGTTTGCTTTATAAGGTGTGGTCACCGAAGTCTTTTTGTTTCCTTAACAAATGTTAAGCTAATGTTTTGACAGTGATTTTCTTGTATGTCAGGAAGTAAGCAAAGAGGCAAATACAACAAAAACAAAAAGAAAAACAAGTAATCATTGTCCAGCAAAATATGCTTCTAGGCCATGCAGACTGGCTTTGTGCTGGGTTCTTTAAAGCCGGCACAAAGTGTGTGTTCACTCTTGCACTGAGTGAAGTTCAAGTTCACTCTTGCACAGAGCTTGCACTGAGGGGAGGGATCGGCCAAGGTAAAAGTGTAGGGTCTTCTTATGACATTTGTCAGCATGTGGCTTAACCTATGCATACATGTGACTTTCTAGACTCTCCCATGTACGTGAATAATTTTGAATGTCTTAGTTTTCCAAATACTCTTCTCCAACTTTTCTTCCTGTGCTGAAGGTGATCTACTATATGTGTAAACTCTAATTTTTGCCCTAAGCATCTGTGGTTTGTTAGGTCTCCTTGCAGAGTTCCTTGATAATGTCCATTCCTTATCTGTTCTGTATTCTAGCAACACAGAAAAACAAAAGCCTTTCATGAGTCCTTTAGGTATCCCCCAGACCAGTCAGAACAGACACATAGTAATTTGCGGGTAAGATCTTCTCTTGTTCCTTTGGACCATGGACCAGTGTTCCTCACTGGGAACGTGGGCTTCTGACACTTCAAAACTGCCAATTTGCTGGGGCAAAGGCAAGCTAAAAATGTCATAAAGTTTTCAAGTTGTCTTTTTCTTGAGTCTGCTTTCACTCGGTTGTTGTAATCTTTTGACTGTTTTCCAGAGTTTTGGCAAAGTTTATTTGGACAGTTTCTCTTAGTTGTGTGATGTTTCTGTGGGGAAATGAAAGATTGCAGCTGTCTCCACTGCCATTTTGCTGATGCTCCTCTTTTGTCAATTTTTGCTTCATGTTATTATGCTTTGTTATTAGTTCATGTATTAGTTTCCTAGGGCTGCCATAACCAAGTAACACAAACTGGGTGCCATGAACAACATACATTTATAGTCTTATAGTCCTGGAAGCTAAAAGTCTGAGATTGAGGGGTCAGCAGGGATGGTCCCTTCAAGGGCTATGAGAGAAAGCCTGTTCTGTGCCTTGTTTCTCGCTTCTGATGGTTTAGTGGCAGTCTTTGGCATTCCTTGGCTAATCTCTGTCCTCATAATCACATGGTACTCTCCCTGTGTGTATGTCTCCCTCTACTCAAATCTCTTCTTTTAATAAGGACATCAGTCATATTGAATTCAGGCTCATCTGATTGTATCTTAACTTGATCAGCTGCAAAGAACCTATTTTCCTAATGAGGTCATATTCAGTGGTTAGAATTTCAGCATCTATATAAAGGAAACAATTTAGCTCATATCTGTGCATACATGATTGTAATAGCTATGTCTTCCTAAAGCGTTGACCCCCGTTTTACTACAATATAATTTTTAAAATTCTATTCACATTTTTAATAGTCTATGTTGTGTGTTATGAGTATAATGAGTTCAGTGTTCTTATGATTGCTCTTTGCATGATATTTTTTGTCATCTTTTTACTTTCAATCCATTAGTATCCTTGCATCTCAGCGTATATTGGGATCACTTGTTTTAATCCAGTCTGACTATCTCTGCCTCTGGAATGGATTTTAATCTGCTCACATTTAAGATTATAATTGGTATAATTCTATTTATGTCTGCCATTTTACCGTTTGTTTTATATATTTCTCAAATATTTTTCTTTATTGCTTTATTTTGCAATGAAAGAATATTTTCTAAAATAGGGAACTTTAGATTACTAATGAATTATTTTATTATATATTTTTGAGAATTTTTGTTGTTGTTGTAAGTTTACCATATAGGTATATGGAAAATTAATTATTCAAATCATCTTCCAATTTATACTAGTAAACTTCTGGTAATACATAGAAACATCATTCTTATATAAATCTCTTTTATTTCCTCCATTTTAAAGTATTATCACTTTACACATTACATCTATTAAAGTTACAAAGCCAACAATACATTTTAGTAATTATTACTTTACCATCTAGAGTGATTACCTTATCACAATACATTTTTCTTCCAACTACCTCCTTTTTGATGTTACTGGAAAATATGTTATAGACGTATTACATTTCTACATGTCAAAAACTCAGCAATACATTATACACATATTATTATTATTATCATTGAGACGGAGTCTCCCTCTGTCACCCAGGCTGGAGTGCAGTGGCACAATCTCCGCATACTGCAAGCTCCATTTCCCGGCTTCATGCCATTTTTCTGCTTCAGCCTCCCGAGTAGCTGGGACTACAGGCGCCCGCCATCACGCCCGGCTCATTTTTTGTATTTTTAGTAGAAACGGGGTTTCACTGTGTTAGCCAGGATGGTCTCGATCTCCTGGCCTTGTAATACGCCCGCCTTGGCCTCCCAAAGTGCTCAGATTACAGGTGTGAGCCATCGTGCCCGGCTATTATACACATGTTATTTAATAAACAATTTATGATAAAGAGAAAAAATGCATTTTTACTGTCTTTTATAATGTCAATGTTACCTATACCAGTACTTTTTTAAAAATGTGGATTCAAGTGACTGTCTTCTGTGACTTGCTTTTAGCCTTAGGAATTTATTTTAGCGTTTTTTTTAATGTGGTAGGTCTGCCAGCAACAACTTCAGTTAATATTTCTGTTTATCTGGGTAAGTCTTTGTGTTATCTTCATTTTTGAAAAATAATTGCTGGATAAGGAATTCGTGGCCGAGAGTTTTTTTTCCTTTGCATCTTTTGAATATATTATTCTACTGCCTCTTGCCTTCCATTGTTTCTCTTAAGTCAGCTGTTAATCTTACAAAACATAGGTGCTCAAAAAATAAACATGTGCATGAATATTTACAGCAGTAATATTCATACAGTCAAAAAGTGGAAACAATCCATACGCTTGTTGACTCATAAATGGACACCCAATTTTCAGCTATAACAAAGAATGAAGTACTTATATATGTTATAATATGGGTGAAATTTGAAAGCATTATGTTAAGTGCACAAAAGGACAAATATTACTTGATTTTATTCACATGAAACATCAGGAATTGGCAAATCAATTGGGATATAAATTAGATTAGTGGTCGTTAGGGCTCAGGGAAGCAGAATAGGGTGTAACAACTTTATGCATAATGGGTTTTTGGAAGGGACATGATGAAATTGCCCTGGAACATTGTGAATATACTAAAAGCAAGTGCATTGTATGCTTTAAAATGGTTGTTATTAATTTTATATTATGTGATTTTTACCTTCAAAAAGAAAATAGCCTTACTCTATACATAATAAACTCAAGATATGTTACAAATGTACATGTGAAATCCAAAATATTATAATATTTAAGGAATAGCTAAGTAGAATAACATTGAAATTTAACATAATGAAACATTTCCTTAAAAAAGAAAAAAGCACAGTAATTAAAAAGGGAAATATATTTAATATTTTTTCTCTCCATTAAGCATGCCATTAACTGAGTAACAAATCAAGCTGCAATTATGTAAACTACATTTTCTAAAACCATAAAGAAAAGAAGAAATAAAAAGGTATTTGGGAAAAAAATCCAAAGGTACAGTCAACTACACAAAAAAAGCTTAGTCTCATTAATCATTATGAAAATGCAAATGGTAACTGAAAGAAGATAAAACTACAATTCAAAGAGAAAGCCTAACATTTCAACCCCCCAAAAAGTCTGGGTTTTGGAGATCTGGGATGGAATAGGGTTCCTAACCTGACAACAATGAAAGAACCAAACTAACTTCAAAGTCATGACTTTATTTTTAGAGCAACCAGGTTGCCAAGAACTGAGTCAAAATGTGAGGGAAAACAAGCACCTGCAAGGAGAAAGAGGACAGATGCACTTACATAGGACAGATGCAAATAGACACCACTATGACAAGTAAAGCTGGAATAATCAATAAATTCCTAAAGACAAAGTGGGGCTGGTGAGATTGGGAGACCGCTGACAGTTGCAGAAGTTGGGAAAGATCCATCATCTTGAAAACTTTTTCCCCACAAACCCACTGTGATCTCTCAAGCAATTGGTAAGGAATCCAAGAGAGTCTGTATATGACACAGATCAGGGAGAGCAGAACACTTGGGAGGTGACCAGGTCTTGGGGGCCGAGCCCTTATGAATGGGATTAGTGCCTTTATAAAAGAAGCTCAATGGAGTTCTTGTGTGACTTCCACTGTGTGAGGACATAGAAAGAAGGCACCATCTATGATCCATGAAATGGGCTCTCATCAACACTGAATTTGTGAGCATCTTGACCTGAGATCTTACAGCCTCAAGAAGTGTGAAAAAAGAAATATCTGTTGTTTTTGAGTCACCCAGTTTATGTTATTTTGTTATAAGGGTCCAAATAGACCAAGATATTCCACTTAATATGTAGGGGAAGGCAACAAAAACTGCCACACTTAGAATACTCCTGATGCTGGGAGTATGAAAACAGGAAAAACAAAACAAAACTGCTCTTAAAGGTGAAGGAGGAATATCACTGAGCTCACCAACACAGCCAGGAAAAGAACAGAAGTGTGAGAAGGCTACATTCCTGAGACCCTGAGAAAATGTACCTGCATAAGACTGAGATGAAATTGCCTACTCTAGTTATGATTGAAATCCCAAAAAGAAAAGAGGAAAAAATAATGGAGCAAAAGAAATATATTTCAAAATAACTGCCAAAAATATTCTAAAAGAAGTGACAGAAAATCAAACTTCAGATATAGGAAACTCAGAGAATGTCAAATAGAACAAAAAGAAATAAGAATTCCATCTTGAAAAATCTTTAAAAAATCAAGTCGAAATTTTATATCTTGCTCCAAATATATAGAGATATAAATAGGTTATCATCAAGATATGGAGAAAGCCATATCATGGAAACACTAAAATAAGGCTGTGGAAGGACTACATTGATATTAGACACAACAGAGTTCGGAACAAGAAATAGTATCAGAGATGAGAGATAATAGATAATAGAATAATCAATTCTCAAGAAGATGTAAACATCCTACTAATTAGGGTATGCAGCTAACAACAGAGCCTCCAAATACGTGAGGTAAAACATGAAAGAATCAAAGGTGAACTAGAAAAATCCAAAATTATATTTGCAGACTTCAACACTTTTGTCTTAGTAATGGAAAGACTAGGCACAAACTCAGTAATCATGTGGAAGATAAGAACAACAATATCGCCAACAAGACATCCAATCTTCAATGGCAGCTACTCTTTCCTTTCAAGTGAAAAAAAAACAGTATGGCATATTCTCTAACAAACCCAGAATTTCTAATGTTTGCGGTCTTCCTTCTTTCCATCTTCCTTTGTCTTCTCTTCCCTTCCCTTGCCTTCTTCCTTCCTTTCTTCTTTTCCTCTTCCTTTTCTTTTCTTTTTTCTTTTCCTTTCTTTCTTTTCTTTTTTCTCCTTCCTTCTTTCCTTCTTTCTTTCTTTCCTCTTATTCTTCCTTCCCTCCTCCCTCCCTTCCTTTCTCCCTCCCTTTTCTTCCTTCTTTTCTCGTATTCTTTCTTTCTTTCTCACGTTCTTGCTTTCTTTCCTTTTTTCTCCCTTCCTCCCGCCCTCCTTTTCTTCCTTCCTCCCTCCCTTCCTTTCCTCTTTTTCCTTCCTTCCTTCGCCTCTTTATTTTCTTTGTTTCTTTGCCTTCCTCCCTTTTACCATTCTCTCTTCCTCCTTTTCTTCCTCCCTTCCTCCTTTCTTTCTTTCTCTCTTTCTCTCTTCCTTTCTGTTTCTTTCTTTCTTTTCTTTCCTTCCCTCTTTCTTTCTTGTGTTCATGTTTTCTTTTTTCTCCCTTTCTCCCTTCCTCCCTCCCTCCCTTCCTTCCCTCATTTCCTCCTCCTTTTCTTTCTTCTTTCTTTATTTCCTTCCTTCTTTCCTTCCTTCTTTTTCTTTGTTTTCTTTTCTTTCTCTTTACTACAATTCATATTATTTTTAAAAAATTAAGAGAGGGAGACAGAAAAATAAAGAACGCTTTAATCTGCAGGTAAATAGATTATGTCTGCTGCAGGCAAAAGAATGGCCTCCCAAAAATTTTCATGTCCTAATTCCCAGAGTCTAACATACAAATATGTTAGGTTGCACGGCAGTGTGAAATTAGATTTCAAGTGAAATTAAGGTTGCGGAAAAATGATAGAGAGATTGTCTTAAATGGGTGGGATCAATGAAATCACAAACTTCCTTATAAGTGAAAGAAGAAGACAGAAGAAATGCAACCTTGGAGGTGGTGGCATGAGAAATTACTCAACATCACTGACTTTTAAGATACAAGAATGAGGACCCAGCGCGGTGGCTCACGCCTAATCCCAGCACTTTGGGAGGCTGGGGTGGGTGGACCACGAGGTCAGGAGATCGAGACCATCCTGCGTAACATGGTGAAACCCCATCCCTACTAAAAATACAAAAAATTAACTGGGCATGGTGGCAAGTGCCTGTAGTCCAAGCTACTCATGAAGCTGAGGCAGAAGAATCACTTGAACCCGGGAGGCAGAGGTTGCAGTGAGCTGAGATCATGCCACCGCACTCCAGCCTGGGTGACAGAAGGAGACTCCATCTCAAAAAAAAAAAAAAAGAAAAATAGGATATAAGAATGAGGTCATGTTCCAAGGAATAAAGGTGGCCTCTGGATGCTGAAAAAAATCAAGTAATAGATTCTGCCACATAGCCCTCAGAAAGACTGCAGCCCTGCCCAAAACTTGATGTTAGCCCTGTGAGTTTCATTCAAGTCTTCTGAACTACAGAACTGTAGGATTAATGGTCACTTTATTGTAAGATATGAAGTTTGTGGTAATTGGTTACAGCAGCAAGAGGAAGTTTATATTGTAATTGTATCATGAAAATGAGAACCATAATTTACAACTGCTTTTAATACTGCACTTGGATGTTTGAAATCACGTACGTGGAAATGATCTCTATGTGCATGAGGGAGGATAGCAAATTGATGCCAAAATAATGCAAATGCAAATCTTACACACATTTCTATGTAGGTTTCATTTAATCTTTGAAATTAAAATGAAATTAAAAGATTGTGATATTTTGATGAAATTAGACTAAAATGAACAATAACAAAATAAGAACTCACTTATATTCTTTATATGGTCAATAAAGAAGTGATAGTGGAAAAAAACAAGATCAAATGAAGGTGATGATTTAGGAAGTTGGAAAGATAGCTGAAACTACAAAATGGTATATAACCAGTGAACACTTAGACACACTGATTGATGAACTTCAGCTTTAGCTTGGTGAGAGCATAAAATGAGAGCAGCTGAGGTTTGCAAATTTGTAATCTAATTGTGGAAAAACAGGGGAAAACACATCTCAGCCTAATAAGATTTATCTACTAAGGAGTCTAGACTTGGTCCATTTGTCCTTGTAATTCAAAAGCTAATTCAAATACTGATTTGATGTATTGTGTGAACAACCATTGCTGATTATCATCGCATATCTGGCATTCTCTTTTATCTGATATCTAAAATATTTGGTAATCCCTGGACTTTCTCTTTTCAAACCCAGTACGGTTTAATTTGAGTCTTAGAACAGTTGTCTTTGAGAAATTCTTCCCTCTACTGCATCTGTGAATGGGCATAGCATGGTTACATACATACTGTCACTCCATAGAACATTTGTTAAATTAAAGCCAAAGTTTAAAGCAACAGCTTTAACTCACTGGTTTTACTAATGTTTTCCTCCCCAATAGCCACAACAATATTGATACCCTCACACCTTTTAACATAAAGCTTGGTGTTGTCTATTTTTCAGGTGTTGTCGTCTATATGATCTCAGTATTTTAAAAATCAGCTTCCGGCCCATATGGTGGTTCATGCTTGTAATACCAGCAGTTGAAGAGGCTGAAATGAGAGGATTCCTTGAGCCCAGGAGTTCAAAAGCAACCTGGGCAACATAGCAAGACCCAGTCTCTATCAAAAGTTAAAAAAATAAAAAGTGGGCATGGTGGTGTGCACCTGTTGTCCTAGCTATTTGGGAGGCCAAGGTGGAAGGATTGCTTGAGCTTGGGAGGTTGAGGCTGCAGTGAGCAGTGATTGCACCACTGCACTCCAGCCTGGGCAAAAAACCAAGACCCTATCTCAAAAAATATATATAATAAAAATAAAAATCAGCTCTCATTGATTTCTATGTAAATATGCACAGGTGATGTCCATATAGACATAAATAATAATATTTCTGACAATGGGTCCATATGATCTTCAACATGTAAAATGCTTATCTGTGTAATTGACTGGTTAGTCTCATTAATGAATGTAGATTCAATTCTACTTTCTTGTTCTAGATAAATTATATAATCTAGCTTTTCATTTCACTTATTTACTGATAACAAGAGGAAGAATGACAAGATATCTATTTTGGAAAATTACTCTGGTAGGAGTAAAGATGAAACAATGATAGAATTGCACAGAAAACTAGAAAAAAGTATGGTCTTCTGATATTCTATCACATCACATACTAAAGGCCTCATAAAACTCAGATATTTTATCTAAAAATGTTATTTTCATCATAGGAATGATCAAAGCATGAGACTACAATTGTATTAAAATGTGCTTGTATCACAAGCACTGGTGCTAAAAAGGAGGGGAAAACATCATTACTGATATTTTCAATGTATGTTTTACTTTTCATCAACATGAACCTCAACTTGATATGATGCAAATTGAAGGAAATCACCCATAATTCCATATGAAAAAGGCCTGTGATATTTTATGGGAAAATAAACAGAGAAAATGCTAACAGAAACCCTATTAAGCATGAAGCTTTATGGAGCAAACACAAATCCAGTGGTGAAAGATACACACTCGAGTTCTCTTTGTTGTCTTGGAACAATACGGTTTAGAGGTGACTGGCGGGTGAGGAGAACATATGCGAGTTCACCAAAGAGAAAAGCTGAATGAGGCAATGCCTCTTCCTGACCATATCTCTTACTCAGATAACTATATAATTTATTGTCCAGTAAAGGGAATATTAAAAAATCATATTAAAAGTCATGCAGTGAAGTTGTCCAGGGAAATCAAGACTTAACAGTCTCACTCTGACAATAATGAACAGGGGGATTCCCTCAAGATAGACTAGGACATGACCCCACACTGGCAGATAGTAGTATCAGAAAAGAACCCATGGAAAATCTTTACCTTATGCTTGAGGTAGGGACCAGGCTAAAGTGAAAGCCAGACATAAAATTCTATCTAAAATAAATCCACAATCGAAGAAAATATGTGGTGTACAGGCATAGAATGTCTTTACTGGATCATTGAAATAGTAAGATAAATTCAACTTTTTACATTGTTTTCTTTTCCTCCAGTTAGGGCTTGAGGTTTGTCTCTGGAGAGTGACTGTGAATTGGAGCCCTGCCTTTCTGGGGTTATGGTCAGGGGGTTGTGGATGCTTAACATGTGCCTTTCACAGGACACTTCCTTACCCCAGCAGTGGCCAGATGTGCATCCCACGACCAAGCCTCCCTCTCACAGAACATCTGTTGAGACTAGGAGATGCCTGGTGACTGTTGCCTGACCTGTGTCCTGTGTATTTCTGACAAGAGCCACTCTCAGAGACCCTGGCCAGGAGGAGAGTTAGGTTCCAGTGTAGGTCAGCTCAGACCCATGGAGGCCACAGAACCAAACATGGGAAATCACAGAAGTAGGTTTATTACTCACAGATCCAGAGAGAAGAGGGTAGCTGAGAAGAGGGTTTAGCTGTGTCCCCAGCCAAATCTCATCTTGAATTCCCACATGTTGTGGGAGGGAACAGGTGGGAGGTAATTGAATCATGGGGGCAGGTCTTTCCCATGCTGTTCTTCTGATAGTGAATAAGTCTCACAAGATCTGATGGTTTTATAAAGGGGAGTTTCCCTGCACAAGCTCTCTTGTCTTGTCTGCTGCCATGTGAGACGTGCCTTTCACTTTGCACCATGATTGTGAGGCCTACCCAGCCATGTGGAACTGTGCGTCTATTAAAACTCTTTCTTCTGGAAATTACACAGTCTTGGGCATGTCTTTACCAGCAGTGTGAAAACGGACTAATACAGTAGCACACCTCATAGGGCTGAACAAAATGGGGAAGATGAGTGGGGAGCAGGAGAGAGAAAAGGGGTCTGTGGGACTCCAGCCTTTATTCGGCCCAGAACATTACCCAAATAAGTTTTCCACGGGGCACTAGTCTGTGGGTTGAGTGCCAGCAGGCACATTTCTTGACTCCCGCTGCAACCGAGCAGGTCACTCTGGCGTGTGGGGGCTGTCCATGTGCGCTGTGAGGTCTGTGGGGTGAGTCAGGTAGGTTGTATCCAACGGTTCCATAGCTGGTAGTCACCAGGAGGAGGCAACTGTGTAGGGTCAATATCTAGGCCAGCCACACTGAGGAACTGTGAGGGTTAGAATTGGAAATTGTCAAGGGAATCTGAACCCAGCTACCATATGAGAGAGTTCAACTTATGTTCAATGTGAATGCCATGGCAATATTAAAAGGTAAGAATTCGCTCCATACGTGCTTGAGGTAAATAGGAGAAACCTAGAATTTATGTAAACAGTGAGAAGATTGGATGCGTTTTCCGTCACATATTTTAATACTAGCAGCATATTATATATGTCAATCCATCAGGCATTCAGAAATACATGCTTATGAAAATTTTTTGCACCATCAGACAAAAGACAAGGGTAGAAGACATTTGTTACCCTATAAACACTAGTAAATTAAAAACAGAAGAACCTTTATGTCCTAACATATCTGTGTTGTGAAAGGCTGCCCTGTGAAATACGGGATATCTTAAACATATTTTAAAAATCATAGGTGTCAATATTTTTTAGAAATCCATTTAAATTTTCTCTTGCTATTTTACAATGCCTATTTATTTATTTAGTGGTTCTGCTGATTTTGATGTATATCCTAAACTTTACATTTTCTTTAAAGGATATTTTATACAACTTTATGTAAAAGTTTCAGTATCTTCACATTCTCTCCCTGTCCTTTTGTTTTGCTCTTATATGGTGGTCTTGAGTCTTTTCTCTGGCTTTTCAAACCTAGTAAGACTAAGAAACTAAAGTAACTTTGCCCGTGGTTTGGTAATGCCTTCCAAAGCACATCCTAAGCTCTCGTGCATACAGGGGTCTCCTTTGAGCTCTGTGCTTTTGAGATCCCATATACCTAAATTCCAGTACTCCAAATCAGTACTGCTCAGTTTTAGTTACTAAGTTTAAAAATGTATTTCAATAGCAAGTTACTTTAGTGCACTCTTGCTTCTTTCTTGACTGCTTGTATACATGTATATTCCTTTAAATGAATCCTGGAATTTATTTAAAAATTTTAAATTATACTAATGAAACTGTATATTGTTGTGAATTCATAAGTGAATTTGGAAATAATTTGTCTTTATGATACTAAATCCTTTTTATCCAAGAATAATATGTGTCTTTATATTTATTCCAGTCTATATTTATATCACTGAGTAAATATATAGAAATGTAGATACATACAGCTGTAGTTATAGATACAAATATAGATATAACATGTTAAATCTATATCTATCCCATATAACATATATACATGCTATATATGTGTGTGTATATATATATATGTTTATGTTATTAAAGAGCTCCCTTAAAATTTTTCTTTTATTTCCTATATAATTTTAGGTCAAGCTTGAATTTTCCTTGTACAAACAAGCAAATATTTATACTAGTTTTAATACTGATGTTTAGACATTGTATCTTATTTTAGCATTGAATATTTTCACAATTATCATAAATATTATCTAATATTAATAATGTACCTGTTAAAAATATTTAAAATTTTACCTTTGAATTATTTTATTGTTGAATTAAAATTCCTTTAATATGATAGTAAATTTCTATTTTATGCTTTCTCTATGCATATGCAAATTAATCTACCCACTTCTCTATCTCTATGTAGTAACATATGAAAATCAGGCCTCTCTTCTTCTAATGGACATACACACGTTTGCATATAGAATATCAGACTCTTTACAGCATTTAAAATCTTTACAGACATGAATATTGCCTTTTAACAAATATATTCTAGCATGTACTGAGAATCCCCTATTTATTTTTAATTTGGGCTAATCAATATTATTATTAATATTATTGGATTACCAAATTTGGAAACACACTTTCATCCCCAAGGTGGATATTTGTTTTATTTTTTTTGCCAATTTCTTGTCTTACTGTTTCAAACATTGTTGGATATTATTTTTATTTTATTTGGCATTTTAGTATCAACATTTGTAATTGATGTACTCTACATATTTTTTCTTCAATATCTGGTGGGTTTTATAATTACTGCTACATTGGATTTGTAGTAGACATTGACAAAAATTATTCCTGTATGTTTTATAGCTGTATGAAGGAAACTAATATATTTTACCCCTAAATATATTTCCTTGATATATTTCAAAATGGCTATTGAGAAGGGCTGGGAATGCAAACTTAGCTGCAAAGCTGTCTTGGGGAGATTTGCATCGGTAGAGAATCTGCCTTGATGCAGCCAGGCTTTCTCTGAGGTCTGCCCCCTTGTCTGGATCTAGGAAAGGTTAACTGAGCATCTGAGGTCTCCAAAGGTCTGAAAGAAACATTTTCTGTCTATTCTTTCTGAGGACTGCTCCCAGTGAGGTTTCACCTATGTAAAAAGTCCACTGTTGCTAGCCAGGGTGGTTTTCTCACATAACCTTTTTTTTTTTCCTGTGATCCAAGACCCCATTCTTTCTGTAAACTTCATGTGGTAGATAAGCTTCTGCACGCATCATGTGTCTGGGTCTTCGTTCTAATGGCTCCAGTGTACACACATTGCAGAAACCTGTATGCCTTTTCTACTATTTATCTGCCTCCTATTAGTGATTTTCAGGGAAACTTCAGAAGGCAAAAGGGACATTCTCCTTTAGCCCATTCTCAGACAAAATCCCCCAACATTTAACTGATTCCTAATAGCTTAAAATCACTCTGACAAATCCATATATTTATAACCTTTTCTTCCCTCTATGATTTCTGGTCAGCTTGGGTTTTGTTTTTCATTCCATTTACTTCATCCTCGAAAAGATCTATTTTACGTCTATTTATTCTCATTTATGGACATTGAGAAAAGAAAATAACTTTCATGTGAGAAATGCAAGTCCTTTTAAATAATCAGGCCCAGAGAGATATTCAAATGAGACAGCAGTTCTGTCCTGCTCCTCTTTGAGCTGTGTGTTCATCTAGGCTGCTTGCTGTTGCCACAGTAGCTATTAATTAACCAATAACGCCACACCAGATAGTATAATCCACACCCAATAATAGTGTAACAGTGTATAGCCAGTCACTAATAAATGTTATTTCCATAAGCCAATGAGAATTTGTGACAAACCTCTTTGCATCATCCCACTTCTGGACCCTTTTTTGCCTTTAAGAAACTGCTTGTTGCAAAGCTCCAAAGGGAGTTCATATCCAAGGATACTTGGGTCTGTTTCTTCCAGGCAGCTGTCCTCATTTTGGCTTAAGTAAACTCTTTGAATTACGTTTTGTGCTTCAGCCCCTTCCACTTAGATTAACAACATGGATTTGTGTCACCATGTACGGCAATTAAAATGTTCACACTTTTCCCCCCGAGGGCACTGATGTGTTTTCCTGAGCACTTGGAATAGCTACGTAGTGTTTACTGTCTAGATTATGGTTTCTCAACCTTGGTGCTACTTACCTTTAGGACCAGAGGATTCTTTGCTGTGGGAGGCTGCCCTAGCAATGCTAGGTGTTTCGTTTGACCTCTAAATTTCACACCTCCACCAGTCTTGACATCCCCACAATAACACTAGACATTGACAAATGTCTCCTGGGGAAAACTCTCCACCAGTTGACAGGCAAAGTTCTGGAAATATTGGAATTGTCAATTGAGATTTTATGTTATCCAAAACAAGTATTTTTCTTTGTTTTCAAACATCTACTTCCATCTACTTATCTATTTATTTTTTACTTTTATTTGTAACTTAATTCCATCAAGGAGAGAGAGTTCATTTTCTGTTATGCTAAATTTTTGAAGAATGTATTGATTTTTTATGACATGATATATGGATGATATGTAGATATTACATGTTTGTATTATCAAATTTCAGGGTGATAATAAAATAAATACTTATAATATTTATATTGTCACTGTATATTAGTTATTTTCTTCCTTCACTACAGGAGTTTTTCAACCTATAGGCTATTTTTCAATTCTAAGTTATCCAATAGATTTTGAAACGTTATGATTAAATATCTACTTCTCAAGCATTCATCTTTGCAAATGAAACAATCCCAAGCTCTTATAATGCACATCATATAAAGGGCAGATTAGTCAATATATGGTTCAGAAATAATTATGTAATATTTATAAGAATATTAAAAATTTAGATCCTTAACTCAGATAAGAATAATCCAAATTAAAATTTGATTTTATTACATAATTTAAAATGACACCAGAATACTAGTAAAAATGTAGATAAGTTTATATAATCTTTTTTAGCTGTAGGACTTTATTAGCATAAATTCAAATACAGGAACCAAAGTAAGATTGAGACCTATAGTCAAAGGTTAAAATGTACACATTATAGGGGCATGATTAAACTAATTTAAAGCATGATAACATGGAGAAATATTGCAAAACATACATTTTACTGAATTAATTGTTAATATCTAATCATTATGTGAGAACAAAATTAAAGAGTAGCTACACACGCACACACCCACACACAAGTGCAATATTGTCAAATAAATGATGTTCAGCTACACTAGAAATCACACCTGTGTTTCCTCCACAAAAAAGATTAAAAATCACAATAATATTTATTGTATATATGGAGGTAAAGATACTGAAAATATTACCCTAAAATACATTGTTTTTTGAGATGGAGTTTTGCTTTTATTGCCCAGGCTAGAGTGCAATGGCACAATCTTGGCCCACTGCAACCTCAGCCTCCCAGGGTCAAGTAATTCTCCTAGCTCAGCCTCCCAAGTAGCTGAGATTACAGGCATGCACCACCACACTCGGCTAATTTTTTGTATTTAGTAGAGACGGGGTTTCACCACGTTGGTCAGGCTGGTCTCCAACTCCTGACTTCAGGTGATCTACCCACTTCAGCCTCCCAAAGTGCTGGGATTACAGGCGTGCGCCTGGGCAGCTTTTTGACATATTTCAAGATGGCTGCTCGGAAGACTGGAGATAGCTTCTTCTACAAGAATAGCTGAAAAGCTGTGTTTGTTGGGGAGACTTGCATTTGTAGAGAAAATCTGCATTGATATAGACAGTCTTTTCCTGAGATACTCCCTTGTGTGGGTTTAGGAAAGATTAACTGAGCCTGGCACGTTTACATTTCTAAAAACCATTTCCTATCTATACTTCCCAAGAGGAGGGCTGCTCCCTGTGAGGTTTCATCCATGGAACAAGACCACCTCTGCTACCAGGCTCCTCTTTCTTCCTTGTCATCACCTGTCTTCCGCAAAGCCTGATTTACCAACCTACAGCTCTGTGTTTTCTGTAACCTCAAGACGGCATAGGCGTGTTGACTACCTTGCCTTTCCTGGAGTTTTTATATATATAGTATATATTTGTATATCTATTTATAATATACAAATATGTGTATAGATATATTCATATATATTATGTAAACTCCAAGTGCATACTTGTGCACATATCTGTAAACCTTTTTTTCCTGTTAATTTGTACATTTTTGGTTTGTTTTATAGACTCAAATAATTAAAGCTTCAAGGGAAAAATTTAAACTTTCCTATAGAGAAAAGACAAATATATATGTGACAAATAATATTTAGAGTGTAAGACGCTTTTTAAAGGTATATTTGCAATTTGTGTCAAAACATTTAAATATACATTTGTTATTTTAACTATAAAATTTCAAATAATTTAAGCCAAATACATAGTATATGCAGATAATTTAGCAATATATCTATGTAGCACCTTACTGTGCATTACTGTAACCAGCCGTCTAATATAAAGAATTAATTAAGGTAGCAGCTGCTTTTCAAAGAGCGCATTTTTTCACAGACCTATTAAATAAGACAAATAACATTTAAACTTTATTTTTAAATTTGCAGAATAGTAGTTTTCAGCAGATGGTTTATTTTAGCAAATTCCGTCTTCACATAGTGCTATGCTTTTATGAGTTCCAGCTGTTAACTGATAATATTTTACTGCTGAAACTATCATGTGTGATATAATTGCTCATTATGTGCCTTAAAACACAAGCAATATAATTATTTTCAACTTGGAGCAAATTAAAATCTTATCAGCAATTTAAAAACTCTAGAGTCGTCTTCTTCTGGTTAATTATTTTAAACTTGTATTTTTCTCTTTATGTTTTTAGTGAGTTGTCTTATCAAGGAGAAGAACTCAAGCTGATTATTCTTTTTTTTCTCTTCCATCCACCTCGCAGGTGTGTTAATAATTTCATTTATCAGAAAATGTTCTTTCATATCCATCTTACAAGATGAGAGACCTTTTAACATCTTCCATTCGGATGTGATACCAGTAATGGAAAATATTCCAGCTTCATGAATATGGTGATACAAATAGTTATCCGTCTAACCTCTTTCAGTGCCAAATGTTTACTTTACTCAGTGAATTACTCAGTTGACTGGTAATTTCTTCTGAAATCACTAATGAGAGGATCAGAGTTCTGGCTGTTGTCTGTACCTCATATGACTCCCAGTGCAGACAATTGTTTCTATGGAGCACAGACAGTTGAAAGGATTGACTTCCTGCCTAGAATAGTTTCTGCTGTGCGTCTTATCCTTCTTGGGGAGATTTCAGATTATCTGAATTGCTTTTCTATCTTAAGAAAAAACGCAACAATTCTCCCCCGAGAGGAATGTAAACTGTAGTAAGTTAGCAGAACCAATCCGTAAAATTTTTACGTTGTTTGTTGCAAAATGCAGCGTTGGTGTCTCCATCACTAACCTTTTCTATCCCTCATTGCTCTTTCTTTGACTGCAATAGGATACCTGTAGGCAAATCTGTATTCCCGAGACAGAGTGCCCTTTTGGTGAGCTATAAGCACACTCAATGGTAGGCTGAAATACTAGCTTTTATCTATGGCGAAATGGAATCATATAAGTGATTTTTTTAAAAAGGAAATTTAACTCTTGCTATTGTTTGAATGCTTGCCCCTTCCAATCTCATGTTAAAATTTGATCCCCAATGTTGCAGGTGGGGCTTACTGGGAGGTGTTTGTTCATGGGGTTGGACCTTCCTGAATGGATAATACCCTCCCTTACAAATCTAAAGCTATCCTCACTCCTCGGTGCCCTCAGGAATGAGTGTACCATTCTTTATTCATGTATAATTCCCCCACCCATCCTTTTTGAGACATTAATTACATGTATGTTACACTGCTGCATGTTGTCTGACGTATCAGTGAGTTTCTGGCTTTCTTATTTTAGTTTACCCTTGTACTTTAGTTTGTAAAGCTTCTATTTTTTTTCTATAAATTTTCTAATGTTAGGGTAAAATCCATGACATTCTATCTCATGGAATTTTTATTTCAAATATTTATTTTTCATCTATACATGTCACATTTTTCATTTTATAACTTCTATTTTTCTGCTATGTTCAATTTTCATTTAAGTACCTTGACATATACATGTATTTATCTATATGTATTTATAAAATATATTTACTTTAAGGACCTTGAAATTTCCTTCTTTTCTGTCATTTATAAATGACTTATTTTTATCCTGTTAATATATATCTTAATTTTATATATCTTACGGCTTCTTTGCATGTCAGAGTTTTTTTGGGGGGGTATTTTGATGTTATGCTATTGAATATCTAGATTTTATTGGCTACCTTTGAACAATGTTGTGGCAGGCAGTTCAGTAACTTCAGGATGCGTATTTGTCTGTTGTTGTTTTAAATCTTCTCTTTAAACTTTGTGGAGTTAGTCTAGAGCCATCTGTAATTTGGAGCTAAATGAGCACTGTCACTAGGGCATGAACCTCCAGTGGTCTTTACTGAATATCCTGGAGGTACAGAGGGGATTCCCTTCTCTGATTAGAATTTGGAATATAAAGAGAAAAGAGAAAAATAGAAAGCTATGCAAAAACACGTGCATTAAAATGAATTTTATGTGGGCTTTTTCATGAAAATGTTCCTAAGGTATTTTATTTTTTTATTGTGGTAAAATACACATAACATAAAATGTACTCTGTTAACCATTTTAAGTGTACAGTTCAGTGGTACTAAATATAGTCATAACATTGTGCAGCCGTCCCTACCATCCATCTCCATAATTCGTTTCATCTTGTAAAACTGAAACTCTATACCCATTAAACAATACTTCCCCATTTCTTCCTCCCCCCAGCTTCTGGCAACCATCATTGTACCATCTCTATAATGCTAATCAAGCATAGTGGCTGTTTTTCTTGCTTCCTCTAGTCCGCAGGTAGCATACAAATGTAATAAACTACTTATTCATGTCACATCTATTTATTTTCTGCCTTATACCAAGCTTGTGGGATTCTCTTAAATACAACATTTTTATACTTACACCTATGCAATACCCATTAGCATCGCCTTCCTAAATCAGGGGAAATTCAGACTCTGTAAGGTGGAGTAACTTCCTAAGATGTAAAACTCAGCATTGAAGTCCGTATACTTCAATATCCTCCCCTCTTCTCATTTGTCTTTACTGCCTTTTATGTATGTGTTAGATATTCAATAAATTCTCTTTTTTAAACTGAATTGAAGCCGTGGAGCAGTGTTTTGTTGAACAATAAATATGATATAGGACACTCTTCCTCCCTTCCATTTATGATCCTGTTCATGAAAAAGAGAAATTCTTTCATTGTGCTAGAAGCTTAAAATAATGAAAATGCCACTTTCTACATTAAACAGAAACTGAAGGGAATCAAGGTGAATTGCAAGAGACATAGAAAACAAGTGGGAAAGAAATCTAGTATAATTTGCCCTTTGTGTACCTTTATTACTTAGCGTTTGAGTAAATGATTCCCCCAAATATCTTCCCATCTTAATTCATGTCTCTAAAGTAGACATTTATGTCTCACCTTGTCAAGAAGGGCAAACTCTAACATAAACATTTCCCAAAAATGCTTCCTGCTAAAACATAAGCTCAGTGTGGCTAGAAATGCAGCTCACTTCATAAAGATTAATTGGTAGCTAATTTTGCATGCTGTTCTCTGAACTTCAGTGAAACCTGTCCATCAGGCATACAGGGAATGACGGAAAAGGTGACAACAGAAGATGAATGCTATGTCACTAACCTTCAAAGATGACAATGTGCAAATCGGGACAGCCATAGAAGCCACAACCGAAGGCAAGAAAAGATGACTTGACGCCCTGCGAAGGTTACGTTCAGGTGGTTTTTAGAGGAACGTAATCCAGCTTAGAGGAATGTAATCTTTCTAACCATTTTGCAGCGAACGAACAGAAGTTCGTGTTTGCTCTCCAGCGGGATTCAGATGCACACGCCCAGTATGGGCCGCGCAAGGTGGAGTGAGCAGCTGCGGGTCGCTCCCCACTCCCACCTGGCTCTAGGAGGGCCCTGCGGAGTTGGCCAGGGAACTGGGCGTGGGCGATACTAAAAAAACTGGTGAGGTCCCCTCTCCGCCCAAAGGGGCAGCCAGCGATGTCAGCCTAGAGCCCTCCGCCACTGCCTGATACCTCAGCAGCGCCGACGAGGCCGACAGGTGCCCGCCCAGCACCGCGCCCTTGGTGGGAGCGCAGCCGTTGGCGCAGTCCTCCTGATGCTGCTGCTATTGCTGCAAAATTGTCCGAGCAGCAGCGGCGGCGGACACTTGCAGCAAAGGGGCAGCGGTTTGGGGATGCAACAGGCTTGATGGTCGCTGGAGCAGGTGGCAGTAGCTCCACGCGGTCGGGGACAAACTCTGCGCAGCCCCTGTACCCGCTCCCCTGACCCCTTGCATAATACTCTCAATGCTGAAAGAGATGCATCCGCCTCCCGGTGGCGACGCCAGACCCTTGCCCTCCTCCCAAGGCTGAGGACCAAGTGAGGGCTGCAGCACGGGAAGGGTGCCGGGGTCGCCAGGTCCGCGCCTTCTGCTTTCTTCGGTGCCCCGGCATAGACGGGGGCCGAGAGCAGTAGGTAGCGAAGAGGATGCGGGTGCAGCAGAGCGTAAGGGCATCTCCCGGGGGCGGTGTTGGGGTAGGCCCCCGGGACTGGCTGCGGCGGGGCAGGGGCCCCAAGCAGAGGGCCTGGGTGGGGGTTGTGCAGGGCGGCGTGCGCAGCAGGTAGAGGGAAGGGGTGGGGCAGGTGGGCTCCCGGGGTCAGTTGGTGGCGCTTGAAACGCTTCCTACGCCGGAGAAAGCTGCCATTGTCGAACATGTCCTGGGAGGCGGGGTCCAGGCTCCAGTAGTTGCCCTTGCCTGGGTGGCCCGGCTCGCGGGGGATCTTAACGAAGCAGTCGTTCAGCGAGAGGTTGTGGCGGATGCTGTTCTGCCAGGCGGGGAACTTGCGGCGGTAGTATGGGAAGCGGCCACTAATGAAGGCGCAGATGCCGCTGAGCGTGAGGCGCTTGTGCGGGTTTTGCAGGATGGCCATGGTGATGAGCGCGATGTACGAGTAGGGGGGCTTTGCCGGCTGCCGGGCATCTTCAGAGGCCGCCGCAGACCTTGGCGGTGCCCTGAACTTGGTGCCAAACTCTGAGGGGTCACTCGGGCCGCCGCCGCCCTCGATGTGCTCTCGGGGAAGCGCAACCCCGCCCCACCGGGCCACCTGCAGCCCCGGCTGGAGTGACTGCTCTAGGAACTGCTGTCTCGCCTCCTCCTCCTCGTCTTCCACCTCGTCTTCATCTTCCTCCTCTCCCAGGACATCGATTTTACCGTCTTCCCCATCGGAGTCCCGGAGGCTGCGCTGCGGTGTGGAGCGAGGGCGCTCAGCTCTTGGCAGGTTCATGGAGGAGCAGGTGCTTCAGTCGCAGGGGATGTGGCGGCCGATCACCTGGCCTGGGGCGGGCTGAGCTGGAAGCCTGGGATGAATGTTGCAAGAAGCAGCAATGCTAGTGGTTACCCTTTGGGATGTTTTCGTCTGCTTGTTTCTACTCCTTTGCAACAACGTCCGGCAAAGATGCCTTTGCCTTTTATAAAAGCTTCTTCAAGACCATGTGTGGTGGACTCCCCCCTTTATAACCCTTCTTCCCCCACCTCGGAGCGGTGCCACTTACTCCTAACGTAGTCCAGGGATGATGGTCTTCTGGGCAAACACTGTCCGGAGAAAAGCCCAGGCCCCTCCTCCTCGCACCCACCTGCCACCAAGGAAGATGCTCTACTCATCCGGTGCAGCCAGACAGTTGGCAAGCCTTTGCACGGGTTCTGTTAAGGCGCATTTAAACCCGCGCAAATAAAAGCGAGGTAGGAAAGTATGATACTCAACATTCTATGACCACCTCGACATGCAGCCTTCCCTCCTGGAGAAAAGAAATGGTGGGGCAGGAGGCTGAAATGTACACGGTTGTTTGTAAAGGAATGTGTAACCGTAAAAGTATGTTTTTGTGTTTCACAGCTGGTAATCACCCATTTTCATTGGTAGAGTCTGTCCTTACCCAGAATGGTGAGCTGAATTATATTTAAGGTTCTGACAATATTCCCAGGCTTCAGGGGGGTGTTGCTTTGCTCCTTCTACCTTCCTTCCCACCTCCCCAAGATGCTCTCCCTGACTCAAATTTTCAGAAAAGGTCCAAATGTCCCAGCACTAAATTGTGTAAGTTTATTCAGGGAAGGCAGGAGAGCTCACACGGAGTCCTCTGTCCCCTTGTAGCAATGGTTCTCCAATTTCTTTGAATATTTAACCACAGAAATACATTTTATATAACAATCTTACACATACAGACATAATACATAACTAAGATGGGTTTCACGAAACAATATACTTACACTATAGTGATCACTGATATTTCCTTTTAAAAAAAAATGGCCATAACCAACTAAGTTGATTTCACACATACCAGTATGGGCCCAGTTTGAAAAATCCTGTTCTTACAAAGTGGCCCCACATACAAGAAATGCACCCACTCTATAAGGGCTTCTCTTTCTCCCTTTCCTCCTTCCTTTCTTCATCCTTTATAACCAATTCATTTTTAGAGACAGGGTCTATGTTGCGCAGGCTGGCTTTGAATTCCTGGGCTCAAGTGATCCTCCCGCCTCAGCCTCCTGAGTAGGTGGGACTACAGGCGTGCCACTATGCCTGGCTCTGGCTCTTCATTCTTTTTCTTTTTTTTTTTTTTTTTTTTTTGAGACGGAGTCGCTCTGTCGCCCAGGCTGGAGTGCAGTGACACAATCTAGGACCACTGCAAGCTCCGCCTCCCGGGTTCACGCCATTCTCCTGCCTCAGCCTCCTGAGTAGTTGGGACTACAGGCGCCCGCCACCACGCCCAGCTAATTTGGTTGGTTATTTATTTATCTGGGACGGAGTCTCGCTCTGTCGCCCAGGCTGGAGTGCAGTGGGGCGATCTCAGCTCACTGCAAGCTCCGCCTCCTGGGTTCACGCCATTCTCCTGCCTCAGCCTCCCAAGTAGATGGGACTACAGGCGCTCGCCACCACGCCTGGCTAATTTTTTGTATTTTTAGTAGAGACGGGGTTTCACCGTGTTAGCCAGGATGGTCTCGATGTCCTGACCTCATGATCCGCTTGCCTCAGCCTCCCAAAGTGCTGGGATTACCGGCGTGAGCCACCGTGCCCGGCCTCTTCATTCTTTCAGAAATGTCAACATTAAGTGCTTTTACTGTAATAAAACTTGAGATTTCAATGAGGCAAGAAGGGGCTGCAGTGTTGCCTTTAAATCAGTGGGTCCTCATTCACTATCTGCACTGGGGAGGGGCAATATGACAGCACAACTGTTCATCTCACTCGCTCCACATCCTTAGAAGTAACACGATTTTTAGATTGGCTTCATGAAAATTAGCTCAGAGACTAAAGTAGCAATACAGAGGAATAAAAAAATATTTGTTATATAAATAAGGATCTTATTAAAATACTAAGTAAGATACTATGCCACGGTATATATTCATAATTTAAAACCCACCTACTTGGGAAAACTTTGAGGTGCCATCTAATAAAAAATGCAGCATGAAAGAATATTATGCCCTTGATAGTCACATAGTGTCTATAATTATGACAATGAATGTTCAGTGAGAAATCAAACGCCAACTGCAAGGGCAAAATATAATAAAAAATAGCTTAAAGTAGCTAGTGCCTTCAGGATAAAATCTGGAAAAGAGCTTTCTTGCTGATCTTTTTTTGAAACTTTGCTGCTCCTGAAGTTTTTACCCTTTAGGGCTCCTCAGTTTATATGAAGCTTGGAGGACAAATAACAGACAGGTTTGAGCCTAACAGATTTGTTTGAATCCCAAATTTACCAATGACTGCTTGTGTGACCTACTAAACTAAGCTCCAGGAGGGCCAGGCCACGTGTCTTATTCAACCACATAATCCCAGACGCCTCCTCCCCAGCGCCCCCCAGCATGTGAGGCAAATTTCCTCCATCAGCATAGGAATCGGATGACCTGGGAAAGGGAGTATTGTTAGTTTTCCTAGCGCCAGCTTCAATAGGGATTGGGGTTATTTAAAAATACAGGAGAAAAATAAGGAGGCGCTCAAAAACAAAACACAAAACCCACATTGATGGGGGTATGTCAAAGGGGGGAACAGGAGATAACTGAAAGAGTTCCCAATGGTCAAAGCTGGGAAAATTTGAGCAACAAAATAAAGTAGTATTAAATTGTAACCCAAAGTATAAAATATTCGTGTCCACACTGATAAACATAAATGATCAAACTAATAAAGCGAAAGGGACAACTGTCCCTTGCAGAAGAATTTCAATTAATTATGTAGATCACTCCCAAGAAAGTACACTACAACTCCCCATTCCTTTAGTGTGGGCTGTGCATAGTGATTTCCTTCCAAAGAGCACAGTATGAAATGGGGGAGAAGAGTAACTTTACAATGCAGAAACCTGACAAACACTCCTTCAGCCAGGTGATCAGGTCGTCAACATCAACATCAATAACAGTCATAACCTTTTATTTCATGTCATAAAATGGTGACACTTACTTGTGTTAAAAAAATTTAATAACAATGTAATCATTATATCTCTGCAATCAGCTGAAGTTCTAAGAAAAAATGACAATGTTGAAAGTTGTATCATCATTATTATAAACTTTCATGTTCAGTATATGTAAACTCCAAAGCCAATTTCAAAAGATATTTTTGTGAAATACCATTCTTTAAAAAAAAGGATATTATATATAATTGTATGAATGTTAAATGTTTTACAGTACTGATTTGCTACATTTTATGTATGCTGTAAAACAAATACCATTTTAAAGTATACTGGAATTCGTAACTAAAGTAATAAATAAATGCTTGAAATATACACAGTAGAAACTTATTTTTATTATCCAATCCTTTTGATAAGAAATGCCACTAGTGTTATGTACAAACTTGATCTTCTTTGAAATGTGTTGTCCACTGCTTTTCTGTTTCTGTCACAGTAGCTATAAACAGCTGTTTAAGGATATCCTTATCTAAATTTCTGCCTGCAAACAAAACAAAATATGACGTGATTACATTATGCTTATTAAAATGACACAGTTCACCTATCAATTCCAGTTCATTAAATGCTTTATGGTGTTTAGAAATTTACAAAAAGAATAGCAATTGAGTGATTCCATCTTTAACTTTCCAGGTCAGTACATCAAAGTCACATTGGTCCTTGGATTAACCACTTTTCTAAAACTGAAGAAGAACAAAAGTCCTAACAAGCTTTTACGAACGTTGTAACATGATAAAGATGAAACATTGACCACAAGCTTATTTAGTTTTAAAAGAGGACCTGAATGGTTAATCTGTTTAAGTGGCACATGATATCCCTTTCAAATATATTTTTCACTTTGTTTTAAAACTGTGAATCCTTTGAGACTTACCAATGAGGACCAATCAATTTGTTCTCTCAGTGTCATCCTTCCAGCTCACTGGAGTCTCCTCCAGATCATAGAGCTCATGGACACCCTGGACAATCACTTGTTGTGATTTGTCTTTGATTGACACCAATCCCTGCTCAAAGGAGAATTGACTGAACATTGATCAGCCTCAGTTCAAACTTAAAAGCAGAAATAGAGCATCAATGTTAATGGATTAATTACTGATATTCACTTAAAAAATACAAACTCTTAAGCTGAGAAAATTACTTAATTTCAATTATTTGTGAATTACAAGAAGTTTCTTAATGTTTTTAATTTTCAAAAAAGGTTTCTGTGTATTGTTTTTTTTTTGAACAATCCCCTTTTCTAATGATAAAGTTAATACATATATTAGGATGGTTTTTCAGTGTTATTTATCACAACCAAAACCTGAAACAAAATGATGAAATATGTATCATATCCTATTGATTAAAGATTTTATATAATGTTTCACAGTTTTAGTGGGAAAAGTTGAGAAGTTAAAGGAGTTTGGTTATATTAAATAATTTGTTTTAGAAATGGGTTGCAATCAATGAACAATGTTGAAATAAAGAAAAACTATTATATTTATCTGAATATGAGCTCATTGTGTACTGATTTGCAGAAATGAGAAACGAATTATCTGATAAACTGGCTCCTATGGGGATGAAATTAATTTATTTGAAATAATATTCTTAATTTACCAAAAACTTTGTGTACACTTGTGAACACACAAGAGTAGACACTCAACTGACTGGTTAAGCATACACTTTAGAATCACTGCTTCCTAGAAGAAATACCTTTCATGACTTAAATACCCAAATATCAAGTAATGTGAGTGGGTTTCTAAATACAGAACAAGAATTCTTCTAGTCCTTTGTAACTTTGTTTAGAGTATGACAAATGTTTAGTGTCTGCTAAATGCATCAGGAAGCATAATGTTCAGCAGAAGTGAGATTTGCAACATTATTTCTCTGTACTTGGGAACAGAGAGCAGAAGGTAACATTTCAAAGCGCACAGGTTTGTTCTAGCTGCAACCCTAAAGAAAGTTGTGCAAATAAATCAAGCCTTATGCAGTGATTTCCAAAGCTCCTTTTCAGTCATGAAAATAATAAAGAAAAATGAAAGTAGACAAAGATGATTTGTACTAAAACCAGTGTTTCTGTTTAAAACCAAATATAGTTTTTATAACAGCCAAGAAAAGGACTTTGTCCAAAAGTCTGCAACAGTAAACTGTACCTTCAGCCTTATGACCTCCATGCAGTGATTGTCCTTGTTTCTCACATTCTTTTCCCACAGGAGATTCTGTATCAAGTGACATATTTTAATAAGACCAACCATCGCTAATAGCAACAACTATGTAACAAAACCATTGATAAATCATTAATCAGTTAAAAATTGCATTCACCTGAATAAACATATTAAGATGTTCTTCCTTTGCATTTCCTGGTACTTCAAATGTGATTGTAACAATACTCTGTAAATCAAGGGAAATAATAATAATTCTTTATAGTAATATCAATGTTTTTTAAATCACAAATTTTAAGATGAAAAGGAACATATTCATGGAATTTTACATTGCTTAAACCATATATATTAGGTATTATACTTTCCTCAGCATATGTGCTGTTTTTTTTGGAATTAGCAACTCCATTTCCTACATTCTGCACAGGTACCAATGGATTTAGTATTTACACAAACTACTACCTTGTATTTTAAAAAACTCACTCAAAAACCCTGATGAAAGGGTCCTCATTATTTAATTCATTCTTTCGTGGATTCTCAGCAATAAGAATATATGTAACACATACAATGTACTCACTACACAGGGCCAGGTACTTTTGCCTGAGTCACCTCATTTTATCTTTTGACTTACTCTTCACAACAATCCTGGGGAGTGAAGATAACTATTTCATTTTATAAATTGGGGAAAATAAGGGTCAAAAAAATAAGCTACCCAGAGCCAGGAATAAAACTCAAAACCGAAGTAAATTTTTTCTCTTAAAAAAAAAATACAAAAGAAAGGCTTGGCTTATCTTTAACTGAATAAGCATGTGCCAAGAGGAGAAGAGTTCTTAGCGATGAGAATGATAGGATAATGCCCTCTTTGGCTTTAGTAAGGGTGACATCATCATGTATTGAATATTAACTTTAGGATTTATTTTTCTTCTTTATCTTGATAAATCTCTCACTGTCTACCCCAAAGAAACAGAAGCTTAACATTTCCTGTAACAGGTCACCTAATTAAAACCCAAACCTCCCTTTGCCAATATAACCCCAAATTTCAAACTCAGAGATGAAAATACACAAGGGCTAAGCATAACATTATAAAAACATACACCTCACCTTGGAAAATAGAGGCTCAAAAGCCAAGCTCAAAATGAATTTAAAAAGGTAGAAAATAATATACTAAAGCACATCTTTGAATAACTTCCTAGAACTGCGTATCTGGCCTAGCAATTTTACTCACCATTACATAATCATACAGGCTTACAGCAGAAAATACAAAAAGACCAAAACTATTTTATAGTCCAAACTCAAGAGAATCGCTAAAGTATTAAAGACCAATTTAGGCAGAAACATATGAGACATTTCTTTCTTTCCATAGGTTACTGGGGAACAGGTGGTGTTGGTTAACTTCTTTAGTGGTGATTTGTGAGATTTTGGTACACCCATCACCTGAGCAGTATACACTGCACCCAATTTTTGTCTTTTATTCCTCATCCCCTTCCCACCCTTTCTCCCTGAGTCCCCAAAGTTCATTGTGTCATTCTTATGCCTTTGCATCCTCATAGCTTAGCTCCCACTTATGAGTGAGAACATAGCGATGTTTGGTTTTCCATTCCTGAGTTCTTTCACTTAGAATAATAGTCTCCAATCTTATCCAGGTCACTGCGAATGCCATTAATTCACTCCTTTTTATGGCTGAGGAGTATTCCATTGTATGTATATATATCACAGTTACTTTATCCACGCATTGATTGATGGGCATTTGGGTTGGTTCCACGTTTTTGCAATTGCGAATTGTGCTGCTATAAACATGCGAGTGCACGTATCTTTTTCGTATAATGACTTCTTTTCCTCTGGGTGGATATCTAGTAGTGGGATTGCTGGACCAAATGGTAGTTCTACTTTTAGTTCTTTAAGGAATCTCCACACTGTTTTCCATAGTGGTTGTACTAGTTTACATTCCCACCAGCAGTGTAGAAGTGTTCTGGGTTCACCACATCCATGCCAACATCTACTATTTTTTTGATTTTTTTATTATGGCCATTCTTGCAGAAGTAAGGCGGTATCGCACTGTGGTTTTGATTTGCATTTCCCTGATCATTAGTGATGTTGAGCATTTTTCCATATGTTTATTGGCCATTTGTATATCTCCTTTTAAGAACGGTCTATTCATGTCCTTAGCCCACTTTTTGATGGGACTGCTTTTCTTGCTGATTTGTTGGAGTTCATTGTAGATTCTGGATATTTGTTCTTTTTCAGATGTATATATTATGAAAGATTTTCTCCTTCTCTGTGGGTTGTCTGTTTACTCTGCTGACTGTTCCTTTTGCTGTGCAAAATTTCTTTAGTTTAATTAAGTCCCAGCTATTTATCTTTGTTTTTATTGCATTTGCTTGAAATCCTTGCCTAAGCCAATGTCTAGAATGATTTTTCCAATGGTATCTTTTAGAATTTTTATAGTTTCAGGTCTTAGATTTAAGTCTTTAATTTATCTTGGGTTGATTTTTGTATACAGTGAGAGATGAGGATCCAGTTTCATTCTCCTACATGTGGCTAGCCAATTATCCCAGCACCATTTGTTGAAAAGGGTATCCTTTTTCCACTTTACGTTTTTGTTTGCTTTGTTGAAGATCAGTTGGCTGTAAGTATTTGGGTTTATTTCTGGGTTCTCTATTCTGTTCCATTGGTCCATGTGCCTATTTTTATAACCGTACCATGCTGTTTTGGTGACTATGGCCTTATAGTATAAGTTTGAAATCAGGTAATGTGATGCCTTCAGATTTGTTCTTTTTGCTTAGTCTTGCTTTGGCTACGCACATGTGTATGTTAAACCATCCCTGCATCCCTGGTATGAAACCCCTTGATCATGGTGGATTATCTTTTTGATATGTTGTTGGAATCAGTTAGCTAGAATTTTCTTAAGGATTTTAGCATCTATGTTCAAGGATATTGGTCTGTAGTTTTCTTCTTTGGTTATGTCCTTTCCTGGTTTTGGTATTAGGGTGATACTGGCTTCATGATTTAGGGAGGATTCCTTCTTTCTCTCTCTTGTGGAATAGTGTCTTTAAGACTGGTACCAATTCTTCTTTGAATATCTGGTGGAATTCTGTTGTGAATCCGTCTAGTCCTGGACATTTTTTTGTTGGTAATTTTTTAATTACCATTTCAATCTCCCTGCTTGTTACTGGTCTGTTCAGGGTAATTCTTCCTGATTTAAGCTAGGAGGGTTGTATCTTTCCAGGAATTTATCCATCTATTTTAGGTTTTCTAGTTTATGCATGTAAAGGTGTTCATAGTAGCCTTGAATATCTTTTGTATTTCTGTGGTGTCAGTTGTAATATCTCCCGTTTCATTTCTTATTGAGCTTATTTGGATTTTCTCTCTTTTCTTGGCTAATCTTGCTAACGGTCTATCAATTTTATTTATCTTTTCAAAGAACCAGCTTTTCGTTTCATTTATCTTTTGGATTTTTTTGTTGTTTTGTTTCAATTTCATTTAATTCCGCTCTGATCTTCTTTCTTCTGCTGGGTTTGTTCTTGTTTCTCTAGTTCTTTGAGATGTGACCTTAGATTGTCTGTGCTCTTTCCAACTTTTTGATGGAGGCATTTAGGGCTATGAACTTTCCTCTTAGCACCACCTTTGCTGTATCCCAGAGGTTGATAGGTTGTGTCATTATTGTCATTCAGTTTGAGGAACTTTTACATTTCCATCTTGATTTCATCTTTGACCCAATGATCATTCAGGAGCAGGTTATTCCATGTATCTGCATGGTTTTGAAGGTTCCTTTTGGAGTTGATTTCCAGTTTTATTCCACTGTGGTCTGAGAGAGTGCTTGATATAATTTTAATTTTCTTAAAATTTATTGAGGCTCATTTTGTTGGCTATCATATGGTCTATCTTACAGAAAGTTCATGTGCTGTTGAACAGAACGTATATTCTGTGGTTGTTGGATGGAATATTCTGTATATATCTTTTAACTCCATTTGTTCCAAGGTATAGTTTAAATCCACTGTTTCTTTGTTGACTTTCTGTCTTGATGACCTGTGCAGTGCTGTCAGTGGAGTATTAAAATCCCTCACTATTATTGTGTTGCTGTCTGTCTAATTTTTTAGGTCTATTAGTAATTCTTTTATAAATTTGGGAGCTCCAGTGTTAGGTGCATATGTTTAGGATTGTGATACTTTCCTGTTGGACAAGGCCTTTTTTTCATTATATAATGTCCCTCTTTGTCTTTTTAAACTGCTATTTCTTTAAAGTTTGTTTTGTCTAATATAAGAATGGCTACTCCTGCTCACATTTGGTGTCCGTTTGCATGAAATGTCTTGGTCCATCCCTTTACCTTAAGTTTATGTGAGTCCTTATGTGTTAGGTGAGACTCTTGAAGGCGACAGATAGTTGGTTGGTGAATTCTTACCTATTCTGCAATTCTGTATCTTTTAAGTGGAGCATTTAGGCCATTTATATTCAATGTTAGTATTGAGATGTGAGGTACCACTCTATTCATCATGCTATTTGTTGCCTGTATACCTTGTTTTTTTGGTTTTTGTTGTTTTTCTAATTGTACTTTTGTTTTATAGGTCCTGTGATATTTATGTTTTAAAGAGGTTCTGTTTTGATATGTTTCCAGGATTTGTTTCAAGATTTAGAGTTCCTTTTAGCATTCTTGCACTGGTGGCTTGGTAGTGGTGAATTCTCTGTTTGTCTGAAAAAGCTGTATCTTGTCTTCATATATGAAGCTTAGTTTTGCTGAATACAAAATTCTCAGCTGATAATTGTTTTGTTTGAGGAGGCTGAAGATAGGGTTCCAATCCCTTCTGGCTTGCAGGGTTTCTGCTGAGAAATGTGCTGTTAATCTGGTAAGTTTTCCTTTATAGGTTACCTGGTGCTTTTGTTTCACAGCTCTTTCTTTCATCTTAACTTCAGATAACCTGACGACAATGTGCCTAGATGACGATCTTTTTGTGATGAATTTCCCAGATGTTCTTTGTGCTTCTTGTATTTGGATCTAGGTCTCTAGCAAAGCTGGGGAAGTTTTCCTCAATTATTCCCCCAAATATGTTTAACAAACGTTTAGATTTCTCTTCTTCCTCAGGAATGCTGGTTATTCTTAGGTTTGGTCATTTAACATAATTCCAGATTTCTTGAAGGCTTTCTTCATATTTTCTTATTCTTTTTTCTTTGTCTTTATTGGATTCGGTTAATTAGAAGACCTTGTCTTCAGGCTCTGAATTTCCTTCTTCTACTTGTTCAATTCTATTGCTAAGACTTTCCAGAGCATTTTATATTTCTATAAGTATGTCCATTATTTCCTAAAGTTTTGATTGTTTTTTATTTATGCTATCTAGTTCATTGAATATTTCTCCCTTTACTTCTTGTATCTTTTTTTTTTTAATATCCTTACATTGGGCTTCACCTTTCTCTGATGCCTTAGCTTAATAACCAACCTAGTGAACTCTTTTTCAAGTAAGTCAGGGATTTCTTCTTAGTTTGGATCCATTGCTGGTGAGCTAGTGTGATTTTTTGGGGGGTGTTAAAGAACCTTGTTTTGTCATACTACCAGGGTCGGTTTTCTGGTTCCTTCTCATTTGGGTAGGCTCTGTCAGAGAGAAGGTCTAGGGCTGAAGGTTGTTGTTCAGATTCTTTCGTCCTACGGGGTGTTCCCTTGATGTAGTACTCTCTCCCTTTTCCTATGGATGTGGCTTCCTGAGAGCTGAGCTGTAGTGATTGCTATCTCTCTTCTGGATCTAGCCACCCAGCAAGTCTACCAGACTCCAGGCTGGTACTGGGGGGTAGTCTGCACAGAGTCGGGAGATGTGAACCATCTGTGGGTCTCTCAGCTGTGGATACCAGCACCTGTTCCAGTGGAGGTGGTAGGAGGGTGAAATGTACTCTTTGAGGGTTCTTAGCTTTGCTGGTTTAATGTACTATTTTTGTGCTGGTTGGCCTGCTGCAGGGAGGTGGCACTTTCCAGAGAGTGTCAGTTGTGGTAGTATGGAAAGGAACAGGTGATGTGTTGGGCTCTAGAACGCCCAAAAACATGAGATATTTAATCTCCACTGTTACTAGTAATAGAAAAAGCAGAAAAGTGCTTTCTTGCTTGATAAGAGAAGTGCAAGCAGACTAAAAAAAGGTTCAAATTGAACTTGCAAATGTGAGACTTTTAAAAGTACTTATTTTGTCACAGCAGTCAAGACACTAACAACCACCTAAATGTCCAGGACAGTTGAATGGATAAAATAAATGTGGTAATATACATACAACCAAATATTATGTATCCTTAAAAAAATCCTGTCATATACTACAACATGGATGAATCTTGAGGACATTACACTAAGTGAAATAAGCCAGTCACAGAAGGACAAATATTGCATGAATCCACTAATATCAGGTGTCTAAAACAGTAAAACTCATCAAATCAGAAAGTAAAATGGTGGTTACCAGGGGTTAGAGGGAGACGAAAATTGGGAGGTGCTGTTCAATGGGTATAATTTTAGTCATGCAAGATGAAAAGTTCTAGAGATCTGCTATATAACAATGTACAGACAGTTAACAATACTATATTGTACCCTTAAAAATTTGTGGAAGAAGGTAGGTCTCACGTTAAGTGTTTTTTACCACAATAAAAAATATACAGTCATGGATACATAAAGAGAAATGAGCTGTTGGGCAATTTTGTTGTTATACAAACATGATAGTGTACTTACACAAACCTAGATGGTATAACCTACTACACACCTAAGCTATGCTGTATAGCCTGTTGCTCCTAGGCTACAAACCTGTACAGCATATATGTTACTGTACTGAACAGTGTATGGAAATAATAACACAATGGTAAGTATTTGTGTGACAGTAATTTTTCAGCTCCATCGTAATCTTATGCAGTCTGACTAAAACGCTGTTATGCAGTGCATGACTATACTTATTTTTAAATCTTAATAAACATACTCTATTTTAAAACTATTTTTATAGCATAAGGTAATAATAATATGCATTTTTAAATGACAATTATTTTATTTCTTCATTAAAGGAATCACTACAATACCTAAAAGTCCACATAAAATATACAGCAAAAGGTTGTCAAATGAAACATAAATGTCAGTTAAAAAAATTAATTTAGTCTTCAAAAATGTTTAAAATGTATTTTAATGCAAGTTGGAAAACTATATTGAGAATGTTGCAAAATACGACTCAAAATTGCTTTATTGTTAAAGATTTTAACTGAATAAATTTTTTTGAGATGGGGTCTCACTCTGTTGCCCAGGCTGGAGTAGAGTGGCACAATCATGGCTTACTGCAGTTTTGAACTCCCAAGCTAAAGCAATCCTCCCACTTCAGCCTCTCGAGTAGCTGGGATTACAGGTACATGCCACCATACCTGGCTAATTTTTTGTATTTTTTGCAGAAATGGGGTTTCACCATGTTGCCCAGGCTGGTCTACAACTCCTGGGTTTTAAGCAATCCACCCACCTTGGCCTGTCAAAGCGCTAGGATTACAAGCATAAGCCACCACACCCAGCCGAAAGATTTTTATAATGATTTTTGCTTTTATCAGGTTAAATATGTGACTTAATATTTTTAAGGGGTACAATAAACTCCAGTATGAGACACAAAAGGCTTTAAAAATTAAGATAACGCATCACGGGGCTCAAGAAGGATGATCTATATTTTGGAACCAGATGTTTTCCTACACCAATAAACTCTTTTCACGTTAGAAAAACCCTGAAAAAATCTGTAATTCCCAGTGCAGAAGATAAGGGTCACAACTCATAGTTGGTTCTAATAATAAACTAAACATTCTTTGTCACTTGGGTTTTCTCATCTACCTTCCCATTCTCCAAACCCAGGTGTTCCTTATGGGGAATAAACAAAGAATCCATGAAAAATAGATAACTGCATTAAAAATTCAGGGATAGAGCCTTAATAACACATATATACTAGGTCCTAGGTATTACCCATTTCAGACTTTTTTTTTCCAGTTTTTGTTTTGAATCTAAAATTAACTCCTTTTTCCATGTATGCTGACAGAGAAAGAAACAGAAAAGTGAGGCAATAATTGAGAAAACTAAAGCAAAATGAGGAATTGCCTCTAAAATAAAATTTAGGAACAACTTACTCAGGTTTGTTTATTTAGTCTGTTTCTTCTTTAACCCACTGGGTTATTTCTCCATTTTCTACTCTTTTGCAAACAATACCTAACATACAATAACTTTTATATGTTTTCTTCATCCAGAACACTAAGCCCCCTAATGTGCTTAAACTCAAAATCTGTACCTTCACACTCTATCCCTCCGTTCTTCTTTGCCTGTATAATATCTATACTATAATATCTGGCCACCAGGGACAACTGAATATATGGCATTATCATCCAAATCACTTTGCCTTCCCGATTTTTCTATTTCTAGGTTTCTCTAGTCAATCTAGGCTTGTTTCCCATCACCCCTTCTTTTCTTTCTGATCCATAATCAGTCAGACAGGATATTCAGGCAAGTCTACTGGTGAAACAGCTCTGGATTTATCCCATTTCTAGTCTCACTGTAACCAACATGTTTCAGGCCCTTATCACACAGTATCTTCCCGCATGGTCTCCTGACTCTAAAGTCCAATCTAGCTTACATAACACTCCTAGACAGCACTGCTTGAGTTCTCTTTGTCTAGCAAATTAAAACCTAATACCTTAGACCAGGATTCCAGTACCAACTCTCCACTAAGACTTCTGTACCAGAGACCTACTCATCTATAAGATTCTCACCTTCTCATTTTTAAACATCCGTATTGCTCTTTTCCTTACTTCTTCCCGTCAAAAAAAATCCTACCGTCAAAAAAAATCCTACCAGTTCAAGTTTATTTTTTGTTAAGTAAGTCAGAATAGCACTTACCCCTTCTTTGACTAGGAAGGGGCAAAAAGGAACTCTTTACAATTTTGGATATCTTTTGTATCTTGACCTGAGTGGGAGTTAGAAGGATATGTGTTTGAATGTGCATATAGACAGATATATAGGTACAAATATATGTAAAAATACATTGAGGCCGGGCACAGTGGCTCACGCCTGTAATCCCAGCACTTTGGGAGGCCGAAGCAGGTGGATCACCTGAAGTCAGGAGTTTGAGACCAGCTTGGCCAACATGGTGAAACCCCATCTCTACTAAAAAAAAAAAAAAAAAAAAAAAAAACAAAAATTAGCTAGGCATGGTGGTACATGCCTGTAATCCCAGCTACTCAGGAGGCTGAGGCATGAGAATCACTTGAATCTAGAAGGAGGAAGTTGCAGTGAGCCAAGGTCACACCACTGCACTCCAGCCTGGGTGAGACTCTAGCCGGAGTGAGACTCCGTCTCAAAAAAAACCAAAAAAACAAAAACAAAAACAAAACCCAAACATTGAATTGTACACTAAAATTACACATTTGCATGCTTTACTGTATGCAAATAAATAAACCAAAACCAAAAGAAACAAATGAAAAACTATCCTCATGAAGCATTTGATGGGGTTCAGGACATGCTATCCCAAAATATGGCAACTCAATATTTGAGAAAATGGCAGAATCAGGAAGGTCACTCTCACCTTCTCTCCTGAAGCAGGTCATAAAACCTAGGAAAGATTTTCTGACCTTCCGCTGATGCAGGTCATAAGACCCTCATTTAAGAGGTGCCCTCTCTATACACAGAGGAAAAGAACATCCTTAAGTCTGAATATGAAGGGTCACAGAGAAAAATCTGAGCAAACAGGCCTTGCTAAGTTCTTCCCAGTTTATTAGATCATACTGTTTTATCTAATTATGCTTCTCCATTACTATCCTCTTCCATATCATAACTAACAGAAAACATACACAGGTATGTTTTATGAAGGCTCCTGTGTCAAGTAAAACTTACTAAATAAATTTCTATGTTGAAATTTCTCTTGATAGTTGGTCTTCTGTTAGAGAGACCTCAGCCATGAATCTAGTGATAGGTGAGGAAAAGATAAATTTCCTCCCTTACACCTCAGATCCACTAAACCAAATGAAATTGTTCATGCCTCTGAATCCCATAGCCCTTTGGCTGTGATACTATTTTTCCCTATGTTTATATTATCTAAAGCAGGACAGTGCATCAGAATCTCCTACAGAGGCTACAAAAATACAGATATGCCCTATTTAGTAGTAAAGTGACATAATGTCTGGAATTTGCTTTAATACACTACACCAAGGGCAATAGGTACATAAAGGCTCATTATACTATTCTACTCTTATGTACGTTTGAAATTTCCTATTAAAATACATTTGTTTTTTTTAAATACTCCAGGCAAAAGAAATGTTGGGAGGATAGGTGAAATAAAATCAGCTAAATGTTGATGCCATTTAAACTGGGTGATGCATACGAGGAGTTTACTTTACTATTCTGTTTATTCTTTTATATCTTTGAAATCTTCCATAATAAAATGTTAAAAATATACATTAATATACACATACCCAAGTCCCAATCCTGGAGACTGAGGGGTGAGAACTACTGAGTTATCGAATTTTTTTTAAAAAAGCTCCACATGTGATTCTGATTTATACCCCATTTGAGAAACACAGCTTTTCATTCTTTTAACAAATATTCACTGAGTATCCACCAAGCCCTGTACTAAGCAATAAAGATTTTATATTTAAGGAATTTATAGACTAATGCAAGGCAAAAGCATTTCAACCAAACTACAAGGCATCATAACTGCCACAATAGGGGTTCATTCGAGATTCTATGGATGGAGACACTGGCTGCTCCAAATGTTCATGGTAAGTGAGTACTGCGTTTTCTTCATCTATTCATCCCTATGATTCTTGGCATCACGTTCTTTACCCAGAAGCTCAAATGTGCTTCATGTTCAACTATATGACAGATACTGACTATCATAAAGAACTGGGTTTTTTTTTTTTTTACCATAAATTCTATCTCCAAGGACTTGTATTTCTCTCATTTATTCATTTTAAAGATAAGTGAAGAGGAATATCCTATTAACAAAAGTTTCACAGGGAAAGGTGCCACAAACATAGTAGCAAACCTGCTCATAAATATGAACCAAAATGAATACAAATGCAAGTAGCTGTTATCTTGGCCCTATTACAACCAATAGCAATTCAAAAATTGAGTGATCACTTGAGAGAGAGGAAGGAAGATTAGGCACACTGCTCACTTACACATCCCCCACTCCAACCCTCAGGGTTTTAAGAGGAACAAAGAAGTTATCCTAAACCTCTACGATCTATGATCTGCTTAACAGAAACGCAGGTACAGTAAAATTATATTTAAATTGTTCCTAGCATCTTAGATATTTACCTTAGGGATTAGAATTTTAGAGCATGAAAAACATCTTAAGGAGTTCAAATTTATAGTGCTACCTGAAGGTGAAACTCCAAGTCAATTTTTATTTAAATAAGCCATGCTTATATCAGACCTTTCCTTAAACAATTCAACATACTTAAAAACAGACTGCCTATAGAACCCCCAGGCTGCTTTTAAGGAGTAATCCCTATCAGAACTAACCAATATGCTAAGCAATCTACAGAATGGAAAGGCTAGAAAGCATGATTTCCTCAGATTCTAAAACAAATCTGGTTTGATGAATTCCTATTATGTGTTAAGAAATAGAATTAGACTATGTCAAAAGCATTTAAGATTCCAAAAATTATCAACACAGTTCAAAAATACCATTTTAGAAAAAGTTTATAATAAAATAGTCCTAAACATTGCCTATCTAGTTAAAGAGGTCCTTTAAAAACATTGATTAGGAATTTCAGATTTAGATTTTTTTTCTTTACCTGATCAAGGTGAGGTTGTGTTCCTGGCACATGCTGAAGTTTTTTCTGCAAACTAAAAACAACTGATTAGAAATTCAGAGATTAATACACTTCTGATTTAACTTTATACGTTATTTAGTGACACAAGGATAATGAAGTGACTTTCCATAACTGACTATTCTAATATTCTGTAATTCCAATTTTACAAGTTGTTTGCAAATTCCAATAGAGAAAAGCTGGCAGATTAAGTTTTTTTAAAATTTCTTAAAAAAAAAACACACATTCATATATATACATATGCACAGAATAAAGAGAAAAACTAGTCTTTTAGCAACACTATTTTGTATGGTTAAATATGTCAGTAAATTTCTTTACCATTCCAACAGGTTTAATACAAACTTAAATATATATATAACCATTCTAGTATTGCTTAGAGTTCCTTAACTTTCTCCTGCTTCCTAATATGAAAATAATGCTGGCACCTAAAGAAAGTTGAAAGGATAAATTTTCCTTTATCAATGTTTTCCCTTGAACTTATTAAAAAAGAAATAGTATCCATAAATATAAATTTTCTATATAGTCAGTTACCAATTGAGAGAAAAAGAAAGTCAGAATGTTAAAAATGCATTGTTCTGATATGAAAAGCACAAGAAGATCAACATGGCATAACAAATTACAACCATAATAACTGTAGCATACATTTCAACACTGATGGGGACAGGACGGGAGGGGGAAAGGACTGAAAACCTTGCAGATGCTTTGCCTTGAAAACAGTGAGGGGTAAATTAGTAACAGCAAGTTTAGGAAAGAGAAAGAACTTGTAGGAACTATTGGAGGGAATGAGTCTCTTTGGGGGGGTCCTAGTAGGGAGAATGTCAAATTAAATCCTTCCCAGCTGGTTGCTCAGGAAAAGATTCTCCTGTTTAGCAGTTAAGCACACACAAAAAAGTCATGCAACGGCCTTCCCTATAGTGGTGAGATCACATTAAAAAGCTACTTCAAGTGTCACTAAAGCATTATAACTGCTCTTAAGTGTATGTAGAATGAGATTACTTTAGAAAAACATTTTGAAAAATCATATGCTTTTCCCATATGTTCAGTATTTAATGTTGTTGGACAATGACTGCCTAAAACTTCATATGCAGCAAAAAAAAAAAAAAAAAAAAAAAATCTAACAACGAACATTTAAGTTTAGTTCCCATAAGTCTCAGAATTTCATGCCCTCGATTTTTTCCCTATCATACACATTTTTAAAAGACTAATCTAGTGGATAAGGATATGCTATCAAAACCTGAAACTCATGAATCGGAAATCATCTTGCACATTAACTTGTAATCTTATAACAATTTTTGTCTCTGCACACATAAAATGTAAATTCTGCACACATAAAATGTAAAAAATCTCAAACAGTTTAGTGTTTTGTATATTTAAATCATTATGTTCTATAACAAACAATAATTTAGGTATTGTCAGTAAGATGGAATTAGCAACATTTCTATTTCTCCCAAGTAAAAATATAGAATGATATAAAGAACTGGATGCCTTGATGAAAGTACCTGTATTACAGCAAATTATAGCAAAAGACAGAAGTAGAAAGGAAAAACAAAAATTGATATACTGAATATAGAGGTGGGAAATGATTGCATACTATAATTCTTATTAGTGAAATAAAGCACTAAAGGATACAATATGTAAAGGGAAAAAATAAAATTTCAACTAAAAAATATTCTAGTGTTTAACATATTAAATGACAACCAACTTGTAAGCTCTTGGACCCAACAGAGATAAATTAGTTTAAGAAAGGCAAATTTTGCTGGGTTCAGTGGCTCAGGTTTATAATCCCAGCACTTTGAGAGGCCAAGTAGGAGAATCACTTGAGGCCAGGAGTTCAAGATGAGCCTGAGCAACGTAGCGAGAGCCTGTCACTACAAAAAAGTAAAAATAAAAAAATTAGCCAGGCATGGGTGCAAGCCTGTAGTCCCAGCTACTCAGGAGGCTGAGATGGGAGGATCACTTGAGTCCAGGAGTTCACGACTGCAGAGAGCCATGATAGCCACTGCATTCCAGCCCAGGTGTCAGAGTGAGACTCTGTCTCAATAAAATAAAATAATTAAATAAATATAAAAAAAAGAAAAGGCCAAGTGTGGTGGCTCATGCCTATAATCCCATTACTTTGGGAGGCTGAGGTGGGCAGATCACTTAAGCCCAGGAGTTTAAGATCAGCTTCGGCAACATGGCAAAACCTCATCTTCTACCAAAATAAAAAATTAGCCAGGCATGGTAGTGCGTGCCTATAGTCCCAGCTACTCATGAGTCTGAGGTGGGAAGATGGCTTAAGCCCAGGACACAGAGGCTATAGGGAGCTGACATCGCACCACTGCACTCTAGCCTGGGCAATAGACCCAGACCCTGTCTCCAAGGGGAAAAAAAAAAAAAAAGAAAGGCAAATTTCATGCAGCATTGTTTCATTTGTTCCCCTTGTAAACACATTTAAATGTATCACAGGATCTGTAACTATCAAAACTGCCCACAGCATCAAATTAAAAATACAGTTCTAATCCAGACACGGAGGATGAAAGGGATCATGGCTAACTAGTGAAACAGCACTGATAGTCAAATGAAGGGCTGGAACCTTGAAGTAAAAAGAAGAAAAGGATCATCGAGAGGAAAGTTAGGATGGGCTAGACTTCTGGTTATTTCAGAAATGGGTAGCAAAAGACAAAGGCTCTTAACCTCCCAGAATTAGGTGACAACCTCAGCCAATCTATCTCCCTAGTAAAGCCAGAAATAAGATGGGAAAAAAAGACCATTTTTAAATGAACAAACCAAATTTATGCTTAGGGCTGTATTCGCTTAATGGAGGAACAGTTATTTCAAAATTAGTAAAACAAAAGCTTTATATGAAAAAACATAGTATAATTCTGAATGATTTTCATACAATCATTATCAAGCATAAGTGATACTGGATACCTGAAGCTGACATGAGGGAAAAAGGCTCAGGGAGATTTCACAACTTTGTACAGCAGTGGCTTGAAAGGATATAACTATATTTACCATAAAACAAGAAATAGTCATTTTTACCTTACACAATTTATAAGAATTTTTAGAAAAATAGAAATAACTCACATGTAATTCAGGTATACCAAACTTTCCTGCCTTCCTACTAAATGGAACTAGAAAAGCAAAATGCTGATTTTTTTCCAGGTACTCCAAAAATACCTTTATAATTTTAACTGTAATTTGTTTAGTCTAAAAAGGTACTGCTCCAATACCAGAAGCTACAGGTGAAAAACATATCTCTCAACTGAAGACAACTTCTTGAATAACTGTGTCACTGACAAGTTTACTCTCTGAGCTTCAGTTTCCAAACTGAGAAGGAGGAATAACTGCCCTGCCTGTCCCACACTTCTGGCTGCTGAAATAATCTCAATCAATTTCTTTTTTCTTTATTTTTTTTTTTACAAACTACATGCAAATTTAGTTTTTCCAATTCATAAAGTAAAAGGGGTCCAATAAAACACTATCATGTCCTACCTCACAGGTTACTGTAGGTATTGTTTTCAAAATGTGAACAATACCACAGACTGAAGGTGGAAAAAAAAACTAGTTGAAAGTATAATTAGTTTTTAAGGGCATGGCTAAGGCAAAATTAGAAATACATATATAAGGCTGGGTGTGGTGGCCTACACATGTAATCCCAGCACTTTGGGAGGCTGAGGCATGAGGATCACTCGAGCCCAGGAGTTTGAGACCAGCCTAGGCAACATAGCAAGACCCCATGCTTACAGAAAATTAAAAAAAAATTAGTCAGGCATGGTGACACATGCCTGTGGTCCCAGCTTCTTGGGAGGCTGAGATGGGAGGATCACTTGAGCCCAGGAGGTTGAGGCTGCAGTAAGCCATGTTTGTGCCACTGCACTCCAGCCTGAGTGACAGAGAACCCCATCTCAAAAAAATAAATAAATAAAAAGAAAAGAAATATATATAGGAATGGGAATTAGAACTCTCAAATGTAGAGCCACCCACTATGCCTACCCTTAAGCAAAATTGTCCCACCAATTCAAAATACCCAGAGACATGTCCATTTTCATGATCTTGTATGGACATATACGAGACTTATGAGATATTCATTGCAGCATTATTTGCAATAGCCAAGCTGTGAGAACAAGTTAAATGTCCACTAACAGAAAAAGGGATAAAGTAAATGTGGTATATGTAGAAAATGGAATATTATTCAGACTTAAAAAGGAAACCTTGCCATATGCAAAAACATGGATGAACCTTGATGACTTTATGCTACATGAAATAAACCAGTCACAGAAAGACAAATAATGCATGATTCCACTTGTGTCAGGTAATTAAAATAGTCAACCCCATAGAAAGAGTGTAGAATGGTGGATGCCAGGGGCTATGAAGACAGGGAAATGGGAAACTGCGATTCAAGGGGTATAAAGCTTCAGTTATAAAGAGTGAAACGTTCCAGAGATCTGCTGCACATCCTCATGCCTATAGTTAGCAATACTGTATTGTACACTTAAAAAATTGTTAAGAGGGTAGATCTCATGTTAGATGTTCTTACTACAATAAAAAAAGAAAAAGATACCGATGCACAAGAATAACTAATCTTTCTTCTCTCCCTTACCAAAAAGATTCCCCACAGGAGAAGGCAGAAAACTAATCCATTATTAAAGTGAAGAGAGGAGAGAGGAGCCAAGATGGCCGAATAGGAACAGCTCCGGTCTACAGCTCCCAGCGTGAGAGACGCAGAAGACAGGCGATTTCTCCATTTCCATCTGACGTACCGGGTTCATCTCACTAGGGAGTGCGAGACAGTGGGCGCAGGTCAGTGGGTGCGTGCTCCATCCGCGAGCCGAAGCAGGGCGAGGCATTGTCTCACTTGGGAAGCACGGGGGTCAGGGAGTTCCCTTTCCTAGTCAAAGAAAGGGGTGACAGACGGCACCTGGAAGATTGGGTCACTCCCACCAGAATACTGCGCTTTTCCGACGGGCTTGAAAAACGGCGCACCAGGAGATTGTGTCCCACACCTGGCTCGGAGGGTCCCACGCCCACGGAGTCTCGCTGATTGCTAGCACAGCAGTCTGAGATCAAACTGCAAGGCGGCAGCGAGGCTGGGGGAGGGGCGCCCGCCATTGCCCAGGCTTGCTTAGGTAAACAAAGCAGCCAGGAAGCTCCAACTGGGTGGAGCCCACCACAGCTCAAGGAAGCCTGCCTGCCTCTGTAGGCTCCACCTCTGGGGGCAGGGTACAGACACACAAAAAGACAGCAGTAACCTCCGCAGACTTAAGTGTCCCTGTCTGACAGCTTTGAAGAGAGCAGTGGTTCTCCCAGCACACAGCTGGAGATCTGAGAACGGGCAGACTGCCTCCTCAAGTGGGTCCCTGACCCCTGACCCCCTGGGAGGTCACCCCCTGGGAGGTAACTGGGAGGCACCCCCTAGCAGAGGCAGGCTGACACCTCACACGGCCAGGTACTCCAACAGACCTGCAGCTGAAGGTCCTGTCTGTTAGAAGGAAAACTAACAAACAGAAAGGACATCCACACCAAAAACCCATCTGTACATCACCATCATCAAAGACCAAAAGTAGATGAAAACTGCAAAGATGGGGAAAAAACAGAGCAGAAAACCTGGAAACTCTAAAAAGCAGAGCGCCTCTCCTCCTCCAAAGGAACGCAGCGCCTCTCCTCCTCCAAAGAAACACAGCTCCTCACCAACAACAGAACAAAGCTGGACGGAGAATGACTTTGACGAGCTGAGAAAATAAGGCTTCAGACGATCAAATTACTCCAAGCTACGGGAGGACATTCAAACCAAAGGCAAAGAAGTTGAAAACTTTGAAAAAAATTTTGAAGAATGTATAACTAGAATAACCAATACAGAGAAGTGCTTAAAGGAGCTGATGGAGCTGAAAACCAAGGCTCGAGAACTACGTGAAGAATGCAGAAGCCTCAGGAGCCGATGCGATCAACTGGAAGAAAGGGTATCAGCGATGGAAGATGAAATGAATGAAATGAAGCAAGAAGGGAAGTTTAGAGAAAAAAGAATAAAAAGAAACAAACAAAGCCTCCAAGAAATATGGGACTATGTGAAAAGACCAAATCTACGTCTGATTGGTGTACCTGAAAGTGACGGGGAGAATGGAACCAAGTTGGAAAACACTCTGCAGGATATCATCCAGGAGAACTTCCCCAATCTAGCAAAGCAGGCCAACATTCAGATTCAGGAAATACAGAGAATGCCACAAAGATACTCCTCGAGAAGAGCAACTCCAAGACACATAATTGTCAGATTCACCAAAGTTGAAATGAAGGGAAAAATGTTAAGGGCAGCCAGAGAGAAAGGTCGGGTTACCCTCAAAGGGAAGCCCATCAGACTAACAGCGGATCTCTTGGCAGAAACTCTACAAGCCAGAAGAGAGTGGGGGCCAATATTCAACATTCTTAAAGAAAAGAATTTTCAACCCAGAATTTCATATCCAGCCAAACTAAGCTTCATAAGTGAAGGAGAAATAAAATACTTTGCAGACAAGCAAATGCTGAGAGATTTTGTCACCACCAGGCTTGCCCTAAAAGAGCTCCTGAAGGAAGCGCTAAACATGGAAAGGAATAACTGGTACCAGCCGCTGCAAAATCATGCCAAAATGTAAAGACCATCGAGACTAGGAAGAAACTGCATCAACTAACGAGCAAAATAACCAGCTAACATCATAATGACAGGATCAAATTCACACATAACGATATTAACTTTAAATGTAAATGGACTAAATGCTCCAATTAAAAGACACAGACTGGCAAATTGGATAAAGAGTCAAGACCCATCAGTGTGCTGTATTCAGGAAACCCATCTCACGTGCAGAGACACACATAGGCTCAAAATAAAGGGATGGAGGAAAATCTACCAAGCAAATGGAAAACAAAAAAAGGCAGGGGTTGCAATCCTAGTCTCTGATAAAACAGACTTTCAACCAACAAAGATCAAAAGAGACAAAGAAGGCCATTACATAATGGTAAAGGGATCAATTCAACAAGAAGAGCTAACTATCCTAAATATATATGCATCCAATACAGGAGCACCCAGATTCATAAAGCAAGTCCTGAGTGACCTACAAAGAGACTTAGACTCCCACACAATAATAATGGGAGACTTTAACACCCCACTGTCAACATTAGACAGATCAATGAGACAGAAAGTCAACAAGGATACCCAGGAATTGAACTCAGCTCTGCACCATGCAGACCTAATAGACATCTACAGAACTCTCCACCCCAAATCAACAGAATATACATTTTTTTCAGCACCACACCACACCTATTCCAAAATTGACCACATACTTGGAAGTAAAGCTCTCCTCAGCAAATGTAAAAGAACAGAAATTATAACAAACTATCTCTCAGACCACAGTACAATCAAACTAGAACTCAGGATTAAGAATCTCACTCAAAACCGCTCAACTACATGGAAACTGAACAACCTGCTCCTGAATGACTACTGGGTACATAACGAAATGAAGGCAGAAATAAAGATGTTCTTTGAAACCAACGAGAACAAAGACACAACATACCAGAATCTCTGGGACACATTCAAAGCAGTGTGTAGAGGGAAATTTATAGCACTAAATGCCCACAAGAGAAAGCAGGAAAGATCCAAAATTGACACTCTAACATCACAATTAAAAGAACTAGAAGAGCAAGAGCAAACACATTCAAAAGCTAGCAGAAGGCAAGAAATAACTAAAATCAGAGCAGAACTGAAGGAAATAGAGACACAAAAAACCCTTCAAAAAATTAATGAATCCAGGAGCTGGTTTTTTGAAAGGATCAACAAAATTGATAGACCGCTAGCAAGACTAATAAAGAAAAAAAGAGAGAAGAATCAAATAGACGCAATAAAAAATGATAAAGGGGATATCACCACCGATCCCACAGAAATACAAACTACCATCAGAGAATACTAAAAACACCTCTACGCAAAAAAACTAGAAAAACTAGAAGAAATGGATAAATTCCTTGACACATACACCCTCCAAAGACTAAACCAGGAAGAAGTTGAATCTCTGAATAGACCAATAACAGGATCTGAAATTGTGGCAATAATCAATAGCTTACCAACCAAAAAGAGTCCAGGACCAGATAGATTCACAGCCGAATTCTACCAGAGGTACAAGGAGGAACTGGTACCATTCCTTCTGAAACTATTCCAATCAATAGAAAAAGAGGGAGTCCTCCCTAACTCATTTGATGAGGCCAGCATCATCCTGATACCAAAGCCGGGCAGAGACACAACCAAAAAAGAGAATTTTAGACCAATATCCTTGATGAACATTGATGCAAAAATCCTCAATAAAATACTGGCAAACCAAATCCAGCAGCACATCAAAAAGCTTATCCACCATGATCAAGTGGGCTTCATCCCTGGGACGCAAGGCTGGTTCAATATATGCAAATCAATACATGTAATCCAGCATATAAACAGAACCAAAGACAAAAACCACATGATTATCTCAATAGATGCAGAAAAGGCCTTTGACAAAATTCAACAACCCGTCATGCTAAAAACTCTCAATAAATTAGGTATTGATGGGACGTATTTCAAAATAATAAGAGCTATCTATGACAAACCCACAGCCAATATCATACTAAATGGGCAAAAACTGGAAGCATTCCCTTTGAAAACTGGCACAAGACAGGGATGTCCTCTCTCACCACTCCTATTCAACATAGTGTTGGAAGTTCTGGCCAGGGCAATTAGGCAGGAGAAGGAAATAAAGGGTATTCAATTAGGAAAAGAGGAAGTCAAATTGTCCCTGTTTGCAGATGACATGATTGTATATCTAGAAAACCCCATCATCTCATCCCAAAATCTCCTTAAGCTGATAAGCAACTTCAGCAAAGTCTCAGGATGCAAAATCAATGTACAAAAATCACAAGCATTCTTATACACCAACAACAGACAAACAGAGAGCCAAATCATGAGTGAACTCCCATTCACAATTGCTTCAAAGAGAATAAAATACCTAGGAATCCAACTTACTAGGGATGTGAAGGACCTCTTCAAGGAGAACTACAAACCACTTCTCAAGGAAATAAAAGAGGATACAAACAAATGGAAGAACATTCCATGCTCATGGGTAGGAAGAATCAATATCGTGAAAATGGCCATACTGCCCAAGGTAATTTACAGATTCAATGCCATCCCCATCAAGCTACCAATGACTTTCTTCACAGAATTGGAAAAAACTACTTTAAAGTTCATATGGAACCAAAAAAGAGCCCGCATCGCCAAGTCAATCCTAAGCCAAAAGAACAAAGCTGGAGGCATCACACTACCTGACTTCAAACTATACTACAAGGCTACAGTAACCAAAACAGCATGGTACTGGTACCAAAACAGAGATATAGATCAATGGAACAGAATAGAGCCCTCAGAAATAACGCCGCATATCTACAACTATCTGATCTTTGACAAACCTGAGAAAAACAAGCAGTGGGGAAAGGATTCCGTATTTAATAAATGGTTCTGGGAAAACTGGCTAGCCATATGTAGAGAGCTGAAACCGGATCCCTTCCTTACACCTTATACAAAAATCAATTCAAGATGGATTAAAGACTTAAACGTTCGACCTAAAACCATAAAAACCCTAGAAGAAAACCTAGGCATTACCATTCAGGACATAGGCATGGGCAAGGACTTCATGTCTAAAACACCAAAAGCAATGGCAACAAAAGCCAAAATTGACAGATGGGATCTAATTAAACTAAACAGCTTCTGCACAGCAAAAGAAACTACCATCAGAGTGAACAGGCAACCTACAAAATGGGAGAAAATTTTTGCAACCTACTCATCTGACAAAGGGCTAATATCCAGAATCTACAATGAACTCAAACAAATTTACAAGAAAAAACCAAACAACCCCATCAAAAAGTGGGTGAAGGACATGAACAGACACTTCTCAAAAGAAGACATTTATGCAGCCAAAAAACACATGAAAAAATGCTCACCATCACTGGCCATCAGAGAAATGCACATCAAAACCACAATGAGATACTATCTCACACCAGTTAGAATGGCAATCATTAAAAAGTCAGGAAACAACAGGTGCTGGAGAGGATGTGGAGAAATAGGAACACTTTTACACTGTTGGCGGGACTGTAAACTAGTTCAACCATTGTGGAAGTCAGTGTGGCGATTCCTCAGGGATCTAGAACTAGAAATACCATTTGACCCAGCCATCCCATTACTGGGTATATAACCTAAAGGACTATAAATCATGCTGCTATAAAGACACATGCACACGTATGTTTATTGCGGCATTATTCACAATAGCAAAGACTTGGAACCAACCCAAATGTCCAACAATGATAGACTGGATTAAGAAAATGTGGCACATATACACCATGGAATACTATGCAGCCATAAAAAAGGATGAGTTCATGTCCTTTGTAGGGACATGGATGAAATTGGAAATCATCATTCTCAGTAAACTATCGCAAGAACAAAAAACCAAACACCGCATATTCTCACTCATAGGTGGGAATTGAACAATGAGAACACATGGACACAGGAAGGGGAACATCACACTCTGGGGACTGTTGTGGGTTGGGGGGAGGGGGGAGGGATAGCATTGGGAGATATAACTAATGCTAGATGACGAGTTAGTGGGTGCAGCCCACCAGCATGGCACATGTATACATATGTAACTAACCTGCACATTGTGCACATGTACCCTAAACCTTAAAGTATAATAATAATAAATAAATAAATTTAAAAAAAACTCAAGAAAAAATAAAAAATAAAAAAATAAAGTGAAGAGAGTTATTTGTGTGAAAACGCTAAGCTAAAATTTTCCATGTATTTCATGCATTTTCTCATAGAAAGAGTATTAGACATAGTGTTTGGTGTAGAAGTGTTAACGATTAGCCTCTAAAGTTAACTATCATTTACACTATAATTTCTACAGGAAAATGCAATATGATTTCCAAACAACCAATTAGTAAAACTTCCAAGAATATACCTCATTAAGAATGGTCTTGTATGCCAAAGGAATGGCAGGAAGCTTAAATCATGGATGCAATTGTGCAAATCATTCCTGTTAACTATGGGGAAAAAAGGTACATAACAATAAAAGTAACCAAATTATACAAAACATACCTTATTCCAGAGAGACTATCAAAGGCATGAAGATCTAATACATTAGAGAGATCAACTCTAAAAGGAAGAAAACTAACGTGAGCAGTTGGAAATTCTGTGAAATACATCCAATTAATCAAGAAAAAAAAACTCTGACTCTTAAAAAATTTTATACATAAAATTCATAGAAGTGGGCAAATGGTGTAAGATTTGAATCACAGTTGAATCAAGATTGAAAATTATTTGGTTATTACTTCAATGAATTAGGTTTTTTTTAAACTTTCAATTATCTTTTCAATCCTGAAATTTATGAGCTTTTCAAATACATTTTTATAGCTAAAAAATCAGCTAAAGAACAGAAACTTTTCCAAGCAGCTTATTACTCAAAAGATGAAACAAAAGAAATGACAAATAGAATTAACAAATAGGTACATTCCAGATACCTCTGCAATTTTTGTATTTCTTTTATACCCCCTCCCTTGATATAACATGTAATATAAAAATGAGGAGTCAAATAACCAATGTACAAAATATTAGGTTACTCTAGGACCCTGATCTTCACGTGATTTGATTTCATTCATTCAGAATGGGGCTGCATGTAGAAAGAAAATTCCCACCATCCGAATAGACATTATTTCTCTTAGAATTATTTAATGATAATTAAACTCATTTAATTGAATCCAATGATTCAAATCAGGTGAGAATAAATAACATATCACAATTAGCATTAGGTTTGGTTTAAATATAAAAAAGCAAATTTATAAAGACTGGTGATTGAGTTATAATTTTAACATAAGCCCAGAAAACCACAGAGGACAGGCCGGGCACGGTGGCTCATGCCTGCAATCCCAGCACTTTGGGAGGCCGAGGCGGGCGGATCACAAGGTCAAGATCAAGACCATCCTGGCCATGGACAACGTGGTGAAACCCTGTCTCTACCAAAAATACAAAAATTAGCTGGGTGTGGTGGCATGCACCTGTAGTCCCAGCTGCTCGGGAGGCTGCGGCAGGAGAATCATTTGAACCCAGGAAGTGGAGGTTGCAGTGAGCCGAGATTGCACCACTGCACTCCAGCCTGGCACAGAGTGAGACTCCGCCTCAAAAGAAAAAAAAAAAAAGAACAGCAGAGGACAGTGATTTCTCATAATCAAAGCTAAGGTGAAGAAATATTTAAAGAAAATGACAAATGTATAATTTCAAATTTAGATTCCAGAAGCTTGCCAAACATTTGTTAAATTTTCTTACAAGGAAAAAAAACATCATTGGTCAGATTCAAGATTTTTTTTTCTTTAATGCACAAACATATAAGAAAAAACATCTCCTTTATCTTAGGACTGACCAACTGTGCCTGCTTTCTTTATTCTCAACAGTCTATCACATACTCGTACTCGTGGCAACAATACTGTGTTAGATTACGAATACTTGTCTTGGCAAAAGAGAGACAAATTCCCATCTTATTACTCCAAAGTTCTATGTTAGTAGACTATAACAGCAACTCAAATTCTGGGCATTTTAGATGTACAGAATTAGAAAAATGATCAAGCAAAGAAGCAAATGTTCTATGAAGAAATTTTTGAATATCAGTTTACACTAAAAGGCCAAAGTCTTAATATTAAACATATTTCCTTTTTCACCCCCCACCCCTCCCCCCGCTACTGAGCATATTTATATTGACAGGTCACAAACAAGGGGCACGGGGGCTCCACTTTGGGAGGCCAAGGTGGGCGGATCACTTTGAGGCCAGGAGTTTGACACCAACCTGGCCAATGTGGCGAAACCGTCTCTACTAAAAATACAAAAATTAGCTGGGTGTGGTGGTGCACACCTGTAATCCCAGCTACTCGGAGGGTGAAGCAGGAGAATCGCTTGAACCCAGGAGGCAGAGGTTTCAGTGAGCCGAGATCGCACCACCGCACTCCAACTTGGGGGACACAGTGAGATTCTGTCTCAAACCAGAGTGAGATTCTGTCTCAAAAAGATAAAAATAAATAAAAATAAAAATAAAAATAAACCAAATGAATGAAGTTTCCCTCCAAGTTTGTCATCTTCATCTTAGGAAATAGCTTAAAGTTTAATAAAGTTTACACATGCCAATTTTGTGAATATCAAATTCAACAGTTTGGAAACACAAGCTTCTAAATAAACTGTTTCACTATGACAGCGTCCTTGAGAATACATGCCATCCAGAGGTAATTCTGCTTTATACTCAGATTCTTTCCATACTTCCAAAAAAGGATCAATATTAGACCTGTACAACAAATTACACTCTTTTACAGAAAATAATAAAATATCCAAGTCTCTCACCAAATTTTCAAAAAAGAGGAAAAGTGTAAGCTTCCAGATGAAAGTTTCTATAGCTTTCCCCAAATTTAGTACCACCATGAAAAAGAAATTCTTCACTCATTCAAGGCATACGACTAGAAAACTAATTTCCATGGCATCAAATTAATTTCCTCCTTTGGAGATAAAAGCATGAGATCTTTTCCAAAGCATTAAAATCGCCAAGAAAAAAAAAAAAAGAAAAAAAAGACCATTACCAGCATTTTAAAACTGAGTAAGAGAATGAAGTAAACAAAAAAGGGAAAGAAAAAGCTTCAAAAGTTCATTTTTCTCCTAATTTCTTGAACTCTCTATTCCAGAAGTACCTAATGTTTTTCTTAAAAGAGAGGCTTTCAATTTTTCCCTATGTCTAAAGGCTGCTTTAAGTAGCTTAAGACCAAGGACAGGAGAGTGAAAACGAAGAGGGTTTTGGCTCTCCAAGGTGGGGGTGGAATTGCAGCTACTGCTTAGGGATATTTTCCAGTGGTCATCTCTTCAAACTCCAGTGAGTCTCACAAACAGGGTGCACCAGCCAATCCAAGTATCCAGTATCTACAATGAAAACTGTAGATACTATCCAAATTGACAGTAGATAGCTCAGTAAATAGCTGAGCAAACTGCAATGATAGCTCAGTCTTCAACTCTGGAAATAAATTTCCAAAAGCCTTCCCCAGTGGCAATTCAAACTCAAAAACGTTTACAAAACTAATCACATTTTCCAAACCTGCTTCCACCACTACCCGACCTGTTGCTCCTCCTTCCTGTATTTCCTATACCTCGGAGATTAGCCTCACATTGAATCTACCTCCCAAGAGTCATTTTGCTTTTAAAATCCTTCACTAACTCCTTGCTCCCTACAGAAGAAAATCCAAACTATGTATCATGGCATTCAAGACCCTTTGTGGTAAGTTCTCTATCTCTTCAGTCATACCACTTTTTCTGTGCTACATAATACCAAGTTTTCTAGCCATTCTAAAATATTCAAAGGTCCCTGGAATACAAAATCTTCCTTATACCTGGAAAGTTATCCCTACCCTACTCCATCTGTAAAAACCTTATTCATTCTTTAAGACTCAGGTCAATGACTGCCTTCTCGGTCAATATTTTCCTGACTCTTTTTCAAGAAAAGTTGAGCAATCATTCCCTCTATTTTCCTATTATTATAGAACTCTGTGCTTTTAAAATTCTTGTATTAATATTAATATCTATTATGTTGCCTTTTTGTTTGTTTGCTTCTGTTTCCCCCCAGTGACTGATCTCCTTAAAGGCAGAGTTTTCGCCTTATCCATTGCTTATATAGTCCTTAAAATGCTATGAAATGCATAGCAGGCAGTTTGTCAAATTAATTTAACTTATTATTGACCAGCTGTGTTTTGGTTTTCCTCTGTTCAGTCCACTTACATTTCTAAAAATTAAGAAAAAGTCTAGAGAAGATTAAAATGACACATCTTCTAACCTTTTACTCCTACTTCTGAAATCTATGTGGTTCACTAGTACTTCCATTTGCTACTAAATCAACTTAAGTCTTACCACTAAGACGATGCTACACACTATTCCTTTTCCTTACTCTTAACTACTCAAGGTGAGCCTTTTTCTACACATGCTTATAGCAGTTTATTGTCAGTACTTGTCAGCTACAAAATGGTAAAAAAATTTTAAAAAACAAAAAATAAAACAAAACTTCTATAAGAGTGACTTTGACTATTTTGTTAACCAAATCTCCGGTTTTTTTGTTTGTTTGTTTTTTTTTTTTTGAGACAGAGTCTCGCTCTGTCACCCAGGCTGGAGTGCAGTGGTGCGATCTCAGCTCACTGCAAGCTCCGCCTCCCGGGTTCACGCCATTCTCCTGCCTCAGCCTCCTGAGTAGCTGGGACTACAGGCGCCCACCACCAGGCTCAGCTAATTTTTTGTATTTTTAGTAGAGATGGGGTTTCACAGTGTTAGCCAGGATGGTCTCCATCTCCTGACCTCGTGATCCGCCCACCTTGGCCTCCCAAAGTGCTGGGATTACAGGCGTGAGCCACCGCGCCCAGCCCAAATCTCCAGTTTCTAAACTGGTAAGCTCAAGTTGCTATGCCTCAAGGAATTTGAGAGAATATTTAATGTAAGATTCAGGACCCAATAGTAAGAATTCTACTCAGGACATCTGATCTTCATTGAAACGGATTCTAATCCAACTTCAGTCCTCATAGCAAGGAAGTACTATTTCAGAAAGTCCCTAGATTCTCAGATGCATTGGCAAGAACCATACACTGAAGAATTCACAGAAGATTTTAGTCACTTGCTCACTCATCCACTTGAAGTAAGAAAAATCAATCACTGCATGTTTATTGTTCTATAATAAAGCAAATGTTAGAAATAAAAGTTAGAAATGTCAAACACACTAAATTGTTACATAATAAACTAATCAAGACACAACTTTTATTCAGGACATGGATATTTCTGAAATGAAAACAAAAGAAGAGAATTGACTTAAAATGTTTATAAATACGAATATTATGACAGAACCAAAGCTATTTATGAGCATTATTTTTAAAAGCTTGTTTAAGTATTATGCACTTGTCTGTGTGACATTTTGTAAAGCGGAGAAAAATTAAGGAGAAAGGAATTGTAGAACACTAACAGGAAGAGGACAGATACTGAGGAATGGCTCATGGTATAAGTGAGATTATCAGAGACTTTCTACAATGGAATTTGAAATGCAGGGAGCACATTTGGTGTATGGTTGTAGAGGACTTACACTAAAGGGCATTCTTCGGCTACCTCTGCCAGCAGATGAGCGGCTCCTGAGAATGCATACCAAATTAATTCCCCAGCTGTTCACATGCATATAAGCAGCTGCTGCTGTTACTGCCTAACACTTATGGCAGTCTGGCAGCACCTCTAATCTCTGCCATAGCAGACAAGCCACTCACCTAAGGCCTCTGCTGTACTTCCAAAGAAAGAATTTCTCAAGTAGAGACTGAGTGGAACTAGAATGCCAGCTGTGAGCCTCAGAGCTCCTGGCTGCCTGTTGCTGAGTCTATCAGCTGCTGAGCCTTTCTCACCAAAAAAAAAAAAAAAAAAAAAAAAAAAATGAGCTTAATAAAATAACCCTGCACAGAAATTTTCTGAAATTAAGATAACATTCAATGGAAAACAGAATTTAATCTACAGAAATACACTTCACAGATGTTTTAGGAACAGAACCTAGAGAAAATGAAAGTCAAAATTTAATAAAAGAATTTGTCAGGAACTTCAAGGTAAAGACTCCATGTATTTTTTGGCAACTATAAAACACTAAGAAGGCTTTTTAAATATTAAAAAGCCATTTAAACACTTCAAATTAAGATTCCTCAATATACTTCAGATTTCTGTACTGAGTTACCCTCTCGAGTGTTTGGAAGTCTTTTCTTCCTCATTAAGCAAACACTTACACAGTGTTATCATGGCTTTGTAATCTTAGTTTTGAAGACAGGCAAATGTACTAGCCAAATATGCCAAACTAACTTATTAAGAGCATTCCAAACAACATTTTGGATCCAATTCTTTTTAAATGCACTTAGATCTTTCTTATATCAGAATCAAGCATATTTGTCAATTACTTAATGTTTATTATTAATAACTAAAATGATTTGTTATTAATAGGAATAGCTTTTTTAAAGTACCTTGATCTTTGTGTTTCTAAGATTTGTCCTAGTCCATTTATGGATCTGAAATAAATAATAAATGAGGAAGACAAAGTTTAAAAGTAAAAATTAACTTTTTAAAAAAGTATACAAAGTATATTGTTTCTAAAACAGGAAATAAGCATACCCAAATACATCTGGAACCAGAAAAAAATTAAAAACAGAAAAACAAAACTTGCTTTAAAAAATAATTATGATTTTCCTTCAAACAATAAATCACATATATTCCACTCATACATCAATAAAACATATATGCAAAAATTCGCACAACTGTCAGATTAAGGGCTACTTTGTGGTTAATAAAAAGACGCTTCACTTTAGAAAAAATCATTCATAAATAGTCAGTTATCCTAGTGATCTTAAAAATGAGTAGATACTCAAAATTTTTACGGTGGTCACTTTTTTCCTCAGGCATACGTGGTAGAAATGGCTATATACACACTAAAAATAAAAACCTAGTTGTAAGTTGCTTTGCCCCCAGCCTGTCCTTAGTATTCACAGTAATTCTAAGTCACACATCCCAGGTTCCTTTATAGAATAACCTCGTCAGTTCCCTAATTAGGCTCTCTACCCGTTATGCCTATTCTCCCTCTTTTGATACTATAGAATATGGCTTTGTATGGCACCAAAAAGTACCTGTTAAATTCTTTTCAGCACACTGTACACCTCATCTATTTATCTTTTCCATTGCCTATCATCAATCATCAATTCCCTATCATGAATTCAATTGTCTTTAGGGTTACTTACCCAAGATTCTTGCTACTTGTTCAAGGTTGTTCTCATGGGTAAGGCTTCCCACATATAATGATTCTGAGGCAAGTCTCTCCACTATTTTACAAAATTCTTAAATCTTCTTTTTTGAATACACTCTAGTCTGATGGCTAATTCCTCTCAAACATGTTTACCTTTTTCACCTCCCCAAATATCATTCTGAGTCAGTCACAAGTCTGATATAAAGGGAGGGTAAAAGCCAAAAGGGTGTGTAATTTATCAAATTGCTTCTTCCAAATTCATTTCTAGTACTGTTAACAAGCTGGCTAATAGTCAATATTGTCAGTGTCAGAGATTTAGCTTAGGTCTCTATAAGGATATAAAAGTCAAGTAATAATTATCATTCCTTTTATGCCAAAAACGTTTGCTAAATAGATTGTGTTCTTCTTAGCAATCACAATGGTGCACAAGATTTATGAAGGAAACAAGATTAGAAGACCAGTGTCAAAAAATGTAAAAGCAATCTTCATTCATCACTTTCTCCTTTTCAAAATCAGCCATCTTTTTCTTTCTTCCCTTTTTTACTATACCTTGAACTTACTATGTAAGCTAAGAAAAAAATTACATAATAATAGCTAACAGAGCACTTACTATGTGTCAGCACTGTGCAAAGTTTACCAACATTGTCTCACGTAATACTCAAAGCAAACTTATGATAGGCATTATGCCTTTTACAGAGGAGGCTTTAAAAGGGTAAATAAGCTCCCTAAGAAGACAATGAGAAACAGACCAAGGATTAGAACCCAAGCAGATTCCAAGGTCTGTGATCTTCAACACTACGCAACAATACCTACCCTCCACATGGAGACATTATATTTTTTTATAGTAAAGTTTAAGGACATTACTATTAAAATAAGATGAAATATGTGGAAAAAATGTGAATTTCTTTCTTCCACAATCATTAATCATGGCAAATAATCTCCTAATGAGCCTTACCTTTATTGATTCAATTTATAATATATACTATATGAACTGAGATGACAGATTCAAAATCTAATGTCAGTAGAACTTATAAATACTAAGAATAGTAATTTTGAGCCACCATCACGCTCAAAGCATTGTACACATTAAAGATAACCAATAATAATAGCTACCGAATGTCTCTCTGTATAGGGCTTTTATTAGTTCAGGTCTTACAAAATAATTCAAAACAAAGTCCCTGAACTATAACTTCATTTGAAAAGTCCATCTTTGTTTTCAAAAGGAATGGGAGTCTCCAGAACAGTCAGCAAAATGACTGTTAGCACATATTTGAGCATCATTCATATTGTCCTGATTGTCCTATGCTGATCAGCCTTGGCTATGGACAAAGAAGATATTAAAGCAAGCTGGAAGACAAGGCATGGTTGACAGTTAAGGAAGATGAAGTCAACAAGAGTTCAGGGAAAACTGAGACCACTTGAGTCAGGGAAGACTTCACATAGGAAGCGGGGAGAGACAGAATAGGCTCTATAGAATAAATTTAAAAAAAAAAAAAACAGAACAAGAAAGAACTCAGGGATTGGCAGAGTGAGAATACATTATGAGTAAAGACAGGAACTGAGAGGATGCATCCATGGGAAAGTGAATTAACCATCCTGGGTAAAGTTAGGGAAGACTGACATTAGGAAAGAGTCAAAGAGAAGACAGGAAAAGAAAGATGGAGTGCGAAGACCCTGAATATCAGTCTATTAACTGTGAACTATATTCTGCAAGCACTGAGGACTAATTTTATGTATTACCATTTATATAACAATTAGCCATCAACAATATATGTGATTCCCTAACGTTCTTGAAGCAGGTCAACCTTATACCTTAAGTTTCTACAGGGCAACAATCAGAGTAAAAAATATTCTGTGTATACAATATGGATCTGTAGGCACTTAACACACTTATCATTTTGTACCTAATTGTCGTTCTTAATTTCTTTACATCTTCTTCTGGAACCAAGTCTGTTTTATTAATGAGAATGATATCTGCCAAAGCAACTTGCCTAAAATAGCAAACAAAAAGAAATGTTAAGAAATTTTAAATAATATACACGCATGCAGATTAATACATCAAAAGAGAAATGTTAACAAATTAAAAATAAATAAAAACACCTCATGTAGATCAATATATCAGTTAAGAATTATATAGTGCTCTATAGGAGTGATTCAGTTTACTCCTAATCCGCTAATTTTTCAATGTGAATGAATTGTATTCATTACTATGCAAGTTCAGATTTCACATTACCCATTTGCAAAGTATTTACTAAGTTATGTTACTTGCTACTCTTGCGCTACAAAGATAAGTCTCAAAAAGTTTACAATCAAAAGGATGATTTTAAACTCATAATTTTCTTTGTGAAGAAAAGCATAAAATTCAGATATCCAATATGGTAAAAAGAAGAAGAGTTTACCTACTAAAATACTGTAATATTTACCAAAATTTTCAAAGAAATAGAATAACTTCACTTAATACTAAAAACTGTATTAAACAGGTTTTTTAAAACTATACTTCAGAGCTGGGCATGGTAGAGCACACCTGTAGTCCTGGCTACTTAGGAGGCTGAGGAGGGAGGATCCCTTAAGCCCAGGAGTTCAAGTCCAACCTGGGCAACATAGCAAGACTCCATTTCTTAAAAAAAATAAGCTATACTTCAGAAGATATATCAGGATATTGCACAAATGTCTTCTTTATCACTATAAATATACTGTATATTATCTCTGTAAAGAATCCAGTTGACTGAATGCTAGATAACAAAGTAGATGATAATAATCAGAAGCTCTATTTTCTATTAACAGGATAGTAAAACTGGAAATTCTTTCAATTTTCCTCAATTATTCAGGGTCTTATGCTTTATCTCAAAGAATACAACTAAATTCTCAAAACTAAATTAACTTTAGTTCACTGAAAGAGCAGGTTTCAACAGTATGTACATCACAAATCCAATTTGGCTATTTTCTATTTGGCTTATTTATATTTTCTATAATAACCATATTTTCATAAGGAAAAAAGTTACAAAAATACTTAAGTTCAGCCAGGCGCAGTGGATTCATGCCTGTAATCCCAGCACTTTGGGAGGCCGAGGCGGGTGGGTCACCTGAGGTCAGGAGCTCGAGACCAGCCTGGCCAACATGGTGAAACCCCATCTCTACTAAAATAAAATAAAATAAAATAAAATAAATAAAATAAAAAAATGCAAAAATTAGCTGGGCATGGTGGCGGGTGCCTGTAATCCCAGCTACTTGGGAGGCTGAGGCAGGAGAATCACTTGAACCTGGGAGGCAGAGGTTGCAGTGAGCCTGCACTTCAGCCTGGGTGACAGAGTGAGATTCTGTCTCAAAAAATAATAATTATTATTATTATTATACATATATATATATATAAAAAATCTTCAATCCCAAAGAAATTGTATAACAAGAAAATATTTCTAAATGTTAATATTTCCCGAGTTCCTCAAAATTACAGAACTCCTGTGTTCAGCATTCACTTTATGCTACGACAAAAATGACTTCAAGTAAAAGTTTAGTTATGAGATCATTATAAATAGATAGCAATAATTCAACTAAGGGAAAAAAAGAAAACAAATTTTCCTTGACTATGTTTTAAAATTTCTTAGTTTGTTTTTGGTTTTCATCTTAGTGATTTTTCTCTTTACAATTAGCCAGCAATCAATATATACTTTAAATATGAATACCTAGTAGCTTCATTGATAAGGCCATCAGGTTTCTCTTCTGTTAAATGCTAAACAAAAAAAAGTTTGAATAAAGTTACTATAATACAATAAAAAATCTAATGTCAACACAAAGGATTTTACTTTAGAGACATTTTCTTGCATTTAATAAAAACTTCAACATGTTCTGTTACTGAATACACAAATCCAAAACTAACTTTTCTAGCTGAAAGCATTTTTCTTCCTCATTTGCAATTTTTTTCTACAAGTGAACCTGTGGGGTTTTATAGGGGGAGGAAGAGGGCTTAGGATTTCATACTCCTGACCTTTTCTTTTACTTAAAAGGAAAACCCCTTTGATTCACATAATGTCATAAAAACATAGAAGATTACAGTTCAGATTTTAGGTATTTTCCTTCTTACAAAACTGTTCTGGTTCTAAATATTCATTATTACTTATTTTAAAAAAAGGATAACCACTGAAATATAGTTTCTTAGAATCTAATATACTTCCCTTCACACCAAACCCCCATATTAGAATCTAAAATACTTCCCTGCACCCCAGCCCACAATCATGCACCACGTGAACTCAGTACTAGGCCTTTCAAACACCCTAGAAACAAATAAGTGGTGGGAAGGCTGATTCAGCCCTGATTCTAGCCAAAAAGCAGTTTATCATTTAGAAACCCATACTTGCTAATCTGGCCTCTCAGTGCAACTGTTTATTTTACTGACCTCTCCAGAGTCAGGCTAACTCCAAAAAATATTTTGACACTGACTTAGAGCCCAAGTGGTAGTTTCCATCTCTCTGGAGGCAAGTTTTGTTGTCTGTTTTTTTTTTTTCCCCCTCATAATCCTGTTTACATCCCTAACGTCATCAACATCACAAGCTTCTTCTCTGGGAAATTACACTTTTACCCTCATTACCTCAAACCTCAATAGAGGTTCCCTGTCACAATAAAAAGCTGGCTACTGAGGTTTAGAGGCAACTAGATTATAGTAATACTCTATATTTGAAGCCAACTTTACAAATGAATTAAATCCTTGAATCTAACTTTATAAATTATATACATTTTTCTCATTTAGCTTTCATAATAATTATGGGAGATGGCTATTTTCATTTATAAAGGACGAAACTAAATCTAACACCCTCATCATCACAGGATACTATATTTTATATACAATCACAGGGACTTTTTTTTTTAATTGAACACACACCCATCAAGTAAAATGAACATAATTTTAAAGCCTTTGTGAAATCTTTTATGCCACATAAAATCAGTCTGTGTACAATGCTACACAAATGTCAATAACCATATATCAGAGCCAAACCAGTTTCATAATTCATGGGGAGATGATCATTAGGGGTATCTGAATAGTTTGGAACCTCAGAGCAAGCAGGTAATAATTTTATTTAACACGCTTGATTAGGTCTATAGAAGAAACATTTTTTCCTTCTAAAAGTTCAGCAAATTCTATTTTGAGGAAAACAAAACTGAAATAAAATCATGGCAATGATACTTCTACTTCAGGCAAAATCTTGTTCAATTCAACTGCAGACCCACTCTGCAATTATGGAAGTCACAGAACTTGACAAGTATTGTATCAAAAATCATTCCATGCCAAAAGATCAAGTTTAATATTTTTTTCATAATTCATCTTGGCCTGAGGCTACAACAAGTCCTATTGTTATATACTCTGCCTCTAGAGAATGAGGCTGCTAACAGACCTTGGAATGGTGCCTGGCACAAAGGCTCAAGAAATATTTGTTGAATGAATTGTAATTAACACCTCCTGTTGTGGGGATACATAAAAGATGTTACATGAAAAATGCCATCTAACATGCAGCAACAAATCTCTTCCCATTAAGCAGTAAATCTACTTAACAATGATATATTTTTGGCAAGGCATCTGCCTCTGAATGATCCTATAGTACTGAAAATTCTTTTTAAACTGAAATATTTTTCAAGATATTATATTATTGACCTTATGAAAGCTTTTTTAACATATGAAATTGGGGTTATTTGGCTATGAGTTTGTGAGGCATAAAAATGATATGACAGAAGAATTACAGATTTGTTTTTGCATTTCCATGCCTAAATGTAACTAATACAATGTTAGTTTCACAAGGTAATGTGCAATGTTTTAAATGCATTTACCTCTCCAAAATATTAGAATTC